>NW_013171807.1:0-264545 GCF_000001405.40 Homo sapiens | reverse complement strand
GAATTCCTAAGAATTCCTGGGAGTTTTGATTTCTCATCCTCAAAGATTAATACCTGTTGAAAATCTGGAAACACCAGAATTCTTAAATAAAATGGTAGTAATGAAATGCATCCATTTGCACACTCAAGAGCCCATTCCTTTTAGCTTTCTGAAGCAACAGCAGCAGTCCCTACCCAAGTCATCCCACTAGCTGATTCCTAACATGTCATTGCTGATGTAATCCCTCAAGCAAGAAACATAGGATAGGTTATGAATTACAGAGGGCTTACTACAGTGCATGGAATTCAGGCTGCTTTTGATGAAGTGATGTCATACTATGAATATCTTCTACCTATAGGTTATTAGAACTTCAAGGACCAATAAAAGCAAGATAAAGCCAAATTTAAAGCCAAAAGGAAAGAAGAACCAAGCTCTGTTTTCCAGAGTAACGTGTAGACTTTAGACAAAATTTTCCACCCAAATTTGTGCGTCACAGGTCAGGAGAAAAGCCTATCCCAGTAAATCAGACAAAGAAAGAATCAGAACCTACCACACTATGTAAAATCAGAGGAGACAGGGACCTCAAAGAACATCCCCCACACAATGAACACTGAAGGCTTCCTGAGAAATAGGCAAAAACTCCAGTAAGCACAGGACAAAAGAGAAGTTGCCAAATTAAGAGCCTCCCTTATTTTTGTACCTCATGCCCCTGGTTTATGGCAGACATTGAGCTGGAGAACACCTAGTCATAGCCCTCTCCTTTATATGGGAAATGTTACTCCTTTAAGAAGGATGACTCCCTTTATGTTTTCTATATAAACTTTCCTTATGCATCTTTTATACCCTTTCCCTCACTGAACTTGAGCAGCCCATTCACTCACCTTATAATGTCTATAGAGGAGGGAAAAAAAAGAGAAAAGAACAGAGAAAGGAAAAGGAAAGGGGAAGAGAAAGGGAAAGGGAAAGAAAAAAAAGGAAAGGAAAGGAAAAGAAAAGAAAGGAAGAAGGAAGGAATTGCAAAAAAAAAAAAAAAAAAGTAGAGAAGTAGTTTGAGGTCAACACTTTATCAAGAAAACTTCACTAATTGTGGGAGTGAATTGTCTATGCATGGACATTTTATGAATTTCCCCATTTACAAATGCACCCTACTCACAAAGCTAACTACTTTAAAGTTCTTCACATGGCTACTACCAAAGATAGACTTTTAAAAACAGTCACATTACCTTTGAGGAAGGACCCATGCCAATCTTTTCTCAGTCCATTCAGCGTGAGTGTGTGTGCTGCCAAAATGTGGTCTTGTGTAGTTTTCATTTCATTTTATTAATAAACCCAAGCTTTTCTTCAGAAAAGATGTGCTGATGGCACTTTTTAAAGAAACAAACAGTAACCTTCACAAGACACTCTCCAACTGCAGCAGCAAGCAAGGACTCAATTAGGCCCCAGACTCATATCCCACCAGAGTGGCCAGGACGCATGGTCCAGGCAGAAGAATTTCATGTTTATTTTGTGGAAAATGGGAAATCCTTGGAAGACTGGCATGACATTCCCAAGGAAGTATTTTTGGAAAATAGATTTGTCTCTCTTGAATGGAATAATATAGTCATCTGTCAGCCAGTCGTTGGCCCATTACCAAAAGTACCTCTCTACATCCACTTTTATAAAAACATAATTTCCACTTTTACTTTAGATTCACTCAGAAGGTACATGTACAGGTTTGTTACATGGGTACATTGCATGATGCTGAGGTTGGGGTATGAATGATCCTGTCACCCCGTTAGTGAGCATAGTGCCCAACAGGTTTCAATCCCTGCCCTCCTTCCTCTAGCAGTCCCCAGTGCCTATTGCTGCCATCTTTATGTTCATGAGTATCCACTGTTCAGTTCCTATGTATAAGTGAGAACATGTGGTATTATTACAAACCACTTTTATGTTTTTAGTCTATTTTTGCATATGAAGGTAGACGATGCAATATACTACTGTGTAAATTGTGGAGAAGTAGGAAACTCAATGGAAGCCAAATATAAGATGGATGGAAGGACGCATGGACAAGTCACTGGCACTCTCTGAACCTCAGTTTCCACATCTGTAAAATGGAGGAAATATACCTACCACATGAGAATGAGTATAAAATGCTCAGCACAGTGCCTATCATATAAATATTAGCCTCAAATGTTAGCTAACATCATTATCATCATTATCATCACTATCAACTACCCACCACCACCACAATCATCATGGCCGTCATCAGCACCCTAGCAGCAGCAGCAACATAGGGCCACCAGAGCAAGCCTTCCCATCGTCTCTTGAAATCCCGTTCCCCAGGCAGATCCTTACTGTTCATCATAGTATTTCTCAACATGTTCTTCTCCAGCATAGAGGAGATCCAACCAGGGGAAGAGGCTAAGAAACAGTATGTCAAAAACGTCTTAAATATTGAAGAAGGCTGAGGGTATTGAGGAAGGAAACAAACTACTTCAAGCACAATGACAATTCCCAGGAAATGTAAATTGGTTGGACACCCTTTGTGTTATTCAAGTGTTCCTTACAGATGTTAATTCACCTCATTTGGACCCCTTTGCAAATGGCGGCTGCCAACAAATGTCCCTGGTTAAACACAACTTAAGAGAATTGCTCAGAAAAGGGCATGTTCTGTGCTCCTGCGAGGACAAAGTTAAGATCATTTGTTCCCTACTCAATTCATCTTTGACCCCCAAACACATTCTTCAAGAGCAATCTTCCTCTTTAGAAGTTCCTCTCTTGGGTTTTAGAGAACTTTTTGGCTTGAACTCTTTCTAAAATTAAAGCCAACTGCTGTTAACTCTCAGATGCAATGATATTACACTCTGGCCGGGGCTGACTATCACAGACGCATCCCAAACCACATAAGTTCTTATTGTTTAAACTGTCTTAAGCAGCTGTTAAAACATACCCTAAGATATCAAAGCCACTCTAATTAACTTCCTGCTTCTTTGGGACTTCAAAGTCTTTCAAAAACTTTTAAATAGGGTTTTTATAGAGAATTTGACCTAATATTTGAAGAAAATTTTGCAAGCTTGCCCAAGAGACTCCAACTTCTCCTTCCCTGTTCCACTCCCATTCCCTCCCCACCCCCCAGAACCTCAGCGTTCTAAGACTAGCTGTGAGAATTGAGGATAAATTTTAAAATCTGCCATACCAAAAATGTAAATCTCTTTACTCACATCCATGCTATTTATCAGGGTGGTCATTGACATCCCACGTAAATGGCCCTCCCTGTGACACCCCTTCTCAACTTGGCAACCCTTTGCCCATCCCTCAAACCAAAACTTCTCTGTGAAGTGCCCCTGGATCTCTCAGGGTGAGGGCACCGCTCTCTTTCCCAGCGCCCACACAATCCCCACATCTCTGCTTGGCTTTTATCACGATGAATTGGAATGTGTCCGTTTACGTGTCTGCCTCCCTGTCTAGACTATGAGGTCCATAGGGCAGGAACTGTTTTGTATTAAGCTTTGTGCTCCCACAGCCTAGCACAGGGCTCTGCATACCCATGAGCAGGACTCAATAGATGTCTGATAAATGACTGAGTCCCAACTCATTCTGGGGGAGTTTGAGTTGCATTTTAATGTATCCATTCCTTATTGGTTTTTGACCTCAATCCCCAGGTGTTCCATAAACATCATCTTAAAGGCATTATACCAAGGGAATCGCTGCTCTGAGTAACGGGGTCATAAAAATTAGCTAAAACTTGGAAATAAGGCAAAAATGGTGAGTGGCACACCTTTCCAAGTCCTCCAGAGAATTTCCCAGGAGAATATACTTAGTTCATTTCATTGCTTGCCAGTGACTTAAGGTCTCTGACTTAGTGAATTTATCTATTATCTTGTATATTTTTGTCCAGTAGAGACACTGATCATTTCTGTCTGCTGGAACATATAACCTCAAAGATTTGTGGCCTGTTGGACATTAACCAGTTTATATCTAACCCAGTAATCTTATCCTAACAATTTTTTTATTAAATTGCCTATAAATATCCTCACTTCTTAGTCTTTGAACAGGATATGCCATCTTACTGGTTCCCTCATTAATGAATGAATTAAATAAAATCTTTGGTGGCACAGGCTTTTAGTCCTAGCTACTTGGGAGGCTGAGATGGGAGGATCACTGGAGCCCAGGAGGTCGAGGCTACATTGAGCCATGATCACACCATTGCACTCCAGCCCAGGTGAGAGAAAGAGGCTCTGGCTCAAAAAAAAAAAAAAAAAAAAAAGGGTGTTTCTTTTGTATTTCCCTGAATCAGATTTTACCTTTTTAACAATTTTTTTTTAGAAATAAAAGTCATAATCCACAGTGACAGTACAAAACCAAAAGTCTACAGGTTAGGTCCCATGGAGCAGCAGAGAGGCCTGGGCTGGGTGTGCAGGAAGTTGGCTCTGCTAGGAACTCTCTATAACCTCCAGAACCTCCCTCGTGCTTATCTGTCACAGAAGGACAATATCCTAAGCTCCCTGTATCCCTCACAGGATTACTGAGATAATCACATGGATCAATTTACTTAAATAACTTTGGAAGAGTCTAAAGTACCAGTCCTGGTGGGGCATGGTGGCTCATGCTTGTAATCCCAGCACTTTGGGAAGCCGAGGTGGGTAGATCACATGAGGTCAGGAGTTCAAGACCAGCCTGGCCAACATGGCAAAACCCTGTCTCTACTAAAAATACAAAAATTAACCTGGCATAATGGCGCGTGCCTGTAATTCCAGCTACTCGAGAGGCTGAGGCACGAGAATTGCTGGAACCCGGAAGGCGGAGGTTGCATTGAGCCGAGATTACACCACTACACTCCAGCCTGGGCAACAGAGCGAGACTCTGTTTCATAATAAATAAATAAATAAAGTAGCAGTCCACCATGAAGCTCTTGTAAAAGAAGGCCAGCTTTTCCCCCAGAAAACAGTGGTGAGAAGGACAATACATGGAAGGAGACCAGAATGAACATAGATAGGAAGGAGCTGCTGCCATCCCACCCCACCCCTCTGGCCCAGGGTTAAACCACTGTCAGCTCCTGCCTGGACATTGGGAAGAGCCTTCTAAAGCATCCACTCTTGCCTCCAACCCCATCCAGTCTCCACACAGCAGCGACTGTTCTTTCCAAACTGTAGGAAGATCATGTCACGCCTCTGCTTCAAGCCCTCCAGAGGCCCTCCGACACTCTTAGGTTAACATTCACACTCCTTTCTTGGCCCACAGGGCACTATGTGATCCAGCCCCATGGCTACTTCTCCAAACTCATCTCAGGGGTTTCTCATCTTTCCTCTGTGCTCCAGCTTCACAGGTGCTATTAGGCTCCTCAGGCAGGTGTAGCTCTCTCACCTCAGGGCCTTTGCCCACTTGCTGTTTCTTCTACCCGAAAGTCTCATTCCCATCCCCCTTTCTTCACATTACTGGCTTCTTTTGATATTACCTTAAATTTCACACACACACCCCAGAAAGAACATCCTTGCCCACCCTTGCCAGAAATATATCTACCACTATTCTCTCTCTGGCTCTGTTCTTAGTACTCTCCAGCATGGGAAGATATTTATGTATGGTCTGTCTCCCCCATCAGCAAGACTGCCTGGTAATTGCCCTAGTGCCTGGCACATAGTAGGCACCTGATACATATTTGTTGAATACATGAGGATAAAGGCACAAGATACCCAGCTGCTTCCAAGTAACGGAGGTCATGCGGGACAGACACATTTCTGAACCCGTGCAATGCAAGTTCCTGAATCCCAAGTACATGTTTCAAAAGACTGTTAACCAAGAAGAAAACTCCCAAGCTCGCAAGGCGTCAATTCAGTGCTGCTTTCAAGAACAGGGCTCCTCAGAAACGCTCTGCCTAAGGAACAACAAGTAACAACAGGTCTCACCAGCACTTCATTTCGTAACTCCAAAGATATCGAATCACTTCATGAGAAGGAAACAGCCCTTCCTACCAAGAATGAAACATTACCCAGAAACACGGCTGCATCTGTACCCAAGGGCTAGGCTTGAAGCAGATGAAAACAACCACCAACTGGAATTCACGGATGTTTCAACAGCACATTGGGGAGAGAAAATCCCAAGCTGCCTTACAGGATTCTGCTCGAGGTTTGCTTCAGGGTATCCAATTATACAGCTCCCTCTCCACAAGCCTTAATCAGAGCCGCAGGGCGCTCCATTTCCAGGGGCTTAGGGCTTTACAGTTTCTGTGATCACTCTTGCCAGCCACTCCAATGGCTGCAGCACGAGGCCCCGTACCTTCAGGATGCTCCCATAATGCCCAGGGCGCTGCCGGCTCACCTCTGTGAAAAGATACCTCCAACAAGCAATGCTGCCTAAGAGCTGCTGGTTAATGGGGTGCTCGTCTCCATTCACATTTTTCATATCAAGGATATCAAACAGCAGCAAAAGAGGTCATGGCAGCAAAAAGCTATTTCCTGGAAAAGTGTCTGATGGGGGAAGGGCCCAAAATGATTTCATTCACTATGTGACTGGCCCGGTCAAGTTATCTGGAGATCAGAGGCTGCTGGAAACCTGCCCCTAGAAGTCCTTCCCCACAAAGGCTTGTGGCCAACAGGAATGCTAAGGCAGGGATGCAAACAGGGCTTTCTTGCTTTGGGGGAAATATTAGGTTGTAGCCCCAGATAAGTTCATTCTAAGCAGCCAGGCAGAGAATACCTATCTTCAAGTGTTTACCTTTTTCAGGTGCAACAGAATTTTTTTCTGCACCTGTCAACCTGCCACCCCCAATCAAAGGCCAGGCTGCAGCCTTCACAGCCAGGACCCACCCACCTGTGCAACCTCTGCCCAGAAACCCAAGTCCTATCTCAGGATTCCAAGTTAAAGAGTTTCTCTTATCACTTCCAACCCCTTGCCTCCATGAAGAAGTTCTTCCCTGAAACGCACCAAACTCTTCTTGAAACTCAGACAACGACACGAACGAGCTTGTCGCCATGCTTTGTTTAACTTTTTTTTTTCTCAGAAATGTCTTGTGGCCAAAAATAGAACATTTTCCGTTCTGGGGAACAAACAGCATCCATGGGAATTAAAGTAGTGCCTCATGCCTCTCCAGAAAATTCCTGCACGCACACTCATGCACACATAAGCTGCTTGCAAGTTCCAAAACGTTGCTTTCTGTAGGTACAGTGGTGAACAGGAGCCAAAAGTCCTCTGTTTATTTTCTATCCAAGAAAGTTGCCAGATAAAAAAACACAAGGGCACCTCAGGGAGGCTTTATAGGAAAAATCTAACTTAACCTAGTGTAATGATTTTGAAAATGGCCCCATTGTCCACCCCTCCTCCCTCTCACCACCATCCTAGAGTTGGTCTCAAGACTCACTCCTCTAAAATTCCAAAACGTCATGGCCTTTATTCCGGCAAGCTACTGTTGCATGATTAGCCATGAGGTTTCTCTAAACTTACTCCTTCGATGGAATCAGAAATGACACATTTAGGAAAAAAATCTCAATCTTAAATACTGAACTAGGTAAAATGAAGCCTTGTGTAAAATGTCAGAAAAACAGTAATCCAGAAATTAGGCTACTAGCACAAGATGCGGCAGTATTTTATACACTCTTACGTGTCTTACAAATTTATTATTGTCAGCATTTCCATAATCCTCTTTAATGAGACTTACATGGCTACAATGACATTTCTTATTTTTACGTTGGAATATGCAGCCCATTGACTATCCGCCACCTCTCCAAAACCAGGGATTGTGTTAGCTATGAGGTCTGCAGGGGCTGTTTTGTTTGTTTGTTTTGCTTGTTTGTTTGTTTTTTGAGATGGAGTCTCGCTCTGTTGCCCAGGCTGGAGTGCAGTGGCACGACCTTGGTTCACTGCAAACTCCGCCTCTCGGATTCAAGCAATTCTCCTGCCTCAGCCTCCTGAGTAGCTGGGATTACAGGCACCCGCCACCATGCCTGGCTAATTTTTTGTATTTTTAGTAGAGACGGGGTTTCACCATGCTGGCCAGGCTGGTCCTGAACTCCTGACCTCGTGATCCTCCTGCCTAGGCCTCCCAAAGTGCTGGGATTACAGGTGTGAGCCACCGCACCTGGCTGGGGCTATGTTTTTATATGCAGCTGGTAAGAATTTAGAAATGAGGATTAAGAAAAAGGAAAGGTCCTTTAAAATAACTGGATCTATTGCTGACACCAGAAGTAGGAAAAACTAATAAGCCAATACAGGGACAGTGAAGGAAAGACCAAGAAATGGGGAAAAGCATAAGAATAGGGGAGAAAACGGGAAGTAAGAGACAGAGAAGAATCTGAACATCAGACACTAATTGATGGATGATTGGAGGTGAACAAAAGCAAACTGAATGACCCAAGAGGGGCCATGGGAAGACAAGTATGGCAGGAGAGAGGGGACAGGAAGGCCAAAGGGAGAAGTAAGCATATAATCTAATGATTAGAGAATAGTTATTTACCAACTGGGTTACATTGGCCAGTTCACCATTCTGAAGCTCAGTTACTTGGTATATTAAGTGGAGATACTAGAATCTCATGCAGGAGCATGTGGATTAAATGAGTTAATACATAAGATGCTTATAACAGTGGCTGGTTCAGAGTAAACATTTAACAAATGTTAGCTATTATTATTACCAAAAGACAAACATATTGCATATTTCCATCAGAGAATATTTGCTTATGGGCTAGACCTTCAGTTATACTGTCATTGCATTCTTCTAACACATAAGGAAGCATAAAAATTACGAGGGAGCTGTGAACCCAAGTGCACTGGTGAAAGAGATTGCAGGATAGTGGTCCAGACGCTGACAAGTACTTGCAACAATTAGCCCCCAGAGACTGAATGAAAGGGATTTCGTAGCCAAGAATTTGTCACAACCACTGTTCCCATTTTCGACTTCGATACTTCATTCAGTCAACAAACATCATGCAAGCAGCTCTTGAAGCCTACACACATTTGGTCTTGCCCCAGCTTATCTTTCTAGAATCAACTTGAGCCCCTTCTACCAACCTCACCATTTTGCAGCTGTACCAGGGTAATTATTCAAAAGACATTTCTTGTTCTTATGATCCTGCCCTCCTGCATTTGCTCAAGTTGTTTGCTCAACCTGGAATTTCCTTTCCTATTTCTGTAGTCTAGCAAGATATTAGTCATCCATCCAGGCCAAATGTTGTGTTGGTTTTTGTGCCCTCCGTTTTCTTCTCCCCCATTGTTTAGCAGGATGAATCCTCCTCACCTCAGTTCTCTTGGTATACAAATGGTAAATATTAATATATACACCTTATTATGGATTGAACTGTGTCCCTCAAAGATGATATTGTGAAGTCCTGACTCTTTGTGTGTGACCTTATTTGGAAACAGAATCTTACAGATTACAGAAGTAATCAAGTTAAAATGAGGTCATTAGGGTGGTCCCTAATCTGACTAGTGTCCTGATAAAATAAGAAAACTTGGAGGCCAAGCACAGTGGCTCACGCCTGTAATTCCAGCACTTTGGGAGGCCACGGAGGGCAAATCACTTGAAGTCAGGAGTTCGAGACCAGCTTGGCCAACAGGGTGAAACCCCGTCTCTACTAAAAATAAAAAATTTGCCAGATGTGGTGGCACACGCCTGTAATCCCAGCACTTTGGGAGGCCCCAAAGCGGGCGGATCACTTGAAGTCAGGAGTTCGAGACCAGCCTGGCCAACATGGTGAAACCTTATTTCTACTAAAAATACAAAAATTAGCTGGGCATGGTGGCACACATGTGTAATCCCAGCTGCTCTGGAGGATGAGGCAGGAGAATTCCTTGAACCCAGGGAGCAGAGGCTGCAGTGAGCCAAGATTGTGCCACTGCACTCCAGCCTGAGCAACACAGCAAGACTCCTTCTCAAAAAAAAAAAAAAAAGGAAGAAAGAAAGAAAGAAAATTTGGACACAGAGACAGATGTACAAAGGAACGACACATGGAGAACTCCAGGTATAGGTAGAGGATTGGAGTGATGCATCTACAAAGTCAAGGAGCCACGAGAAGCTGGAAGAGAGGCATGGGCCCGACTCACCCTCACAGCACCCAGAAGGACCCAACTCTGCCATCACCCTGATTTCAGACATCTAGCCTCCAGAGCTGTGAGGAATACATTTCTATTATTTAGAGCCTCCCAGTTGTGACACTTTGTTAGGACAGCCCTAGGAGACTAATCTGCACCTCAACCACAGCACACGCTTGGTCTCCATGGGAGATCCCTGAGGTCAGGAACTGAAGAGCATTTGTCTCTAGATTCTCAGACCTCTAGCATCATCTGGCAGGTAAAAGGCTCTCTAAACTCTAAATTCTTATGAAGTAACTCTCTAGGAGTCCACAGTCTAGACCAGGGGTCGGTAAACTCTTGGCTTGTGGGCCAGATCCAGCCCACTGCCTGTTTCAGTAAATAAAGTTTTATTGGAACACAGCCACGCTCATCCATTTGTTTTGTCTATGGCTGATTTCACACTAAAACCGCAGAGTTGAGTAGTTGCAACAGAGACCATATGGCCTGTAAAGCCTAAAATATTTACTCTCTGGCCCTTTACCAAAAAATTCTACTGACCCCTGGTCTAAAAGGAAAGAAACATAAATGAAGCACAGCAATAGAATAAAATCAATTCTATAATATAACATAGATAGGTGCAGAGAAAAGAATTATGGGTTGAATCAGTATTTATAGAGAAGATGACATTTTTAAAGTGAGAGTCTAGTTGGAAAAGTCAAAATACATCATTTATTCCCTCTATTGTGTCCTCTGAACTACCAACCTTTGCACTAGTGGTTGCAGAGTGGTTGTGGGCTGGAGTTGTAGAGCTGGTTTGGGGGAAAACGATGATGGGTTCATTCTCTACCCATTGAGTTGGACTGGCCAGTGGCATACCCAAGATGAGATGTCCTCTCACTAAACATTGCTGAGAAGTCTAGGTCAGAGGCACAGATTTGGGGCTTAACACAATACAGATGAAGCCCTCACAGGAAGAGAGAAGCTTACCCAGAAAGAGTAGGAGGTGAGGAGAGAAGACAGTTGCACAGGAAATTCAGGGCACTTCTGAACTTAGCAGTAGTAAAGGAAGAGGAAAAGCCCCTGAGGGGCCTTTTTACAGAGAAGAGAGACAGGGAAAAAAAAAGAGGGAATGCTGTTCCTCGGGCCCAGGAAAAGAGGGTCCAGCAGTGTCCAGATGCCAGGAGAATGAATCTGACATATTCAGCAACCAAGAGGCCAATGGCCTGGCATCAGTCATTTCAGTTGCTTATCACTGGCACAAGTTACTACTCAAACTGAACCATAGGAAAAGGGAACTTCAGTTATCATGAATAGAAAACAATAGAGACTAAGAGAAAGGGAAAGAAAAAAAATTTTAAAAAGAGATGAGAAAAACACAGAAATTGAAGATAACAGGGCTGAAATTAACCTCATCCATGAAATCTATGTTATGCTCGTTCTATATCAACTTTATACTTTATCTAAATTCAACAGAGCTAACTGAAAAAACAAGGAAAATTCTACCATTTGAGACAACATGGATGAACCCAGAGGACATTATGCAGAGTAAAGTAAGCCAGACACAGAAAGACAAACAATGCATGATATCACTTACATATGAATTCTAAACAAATCAAACTCATAGAAACAGAGCGTAGAAAGGTGGTCAGGGGATGCAGGATACAATACAGGGAGGAGATTTTGGTCAAAGGGTACCAAATTTCAGTCATAAAAGACGTAAGTTCTATAGATCTAATATACAACCTGGTAACTACAGTTAATACTAGACTGTATGCTTGAAACTTGCCAAGAGAGCAGGTCTTAAGTGTTCTAATCATAAAAAAAAAATAACTGTATGAGGTGACAGATATGTTAATTGTGAAATCACTCCAAACCTATGCATATAATTGTCCCCCCTTATCCAAGGGGAATATGTTCCAAGATCTCCAGTGGGTGCCTCAAACCACAGATAATACTTAGCCCTACATGTACTATGTTTTGTCCTGCACATACATATCTATGATAAAGTTTAACTTATAAACTAGGCACTGTAAGATAGTAACAATGAAAACTAGCAAAAAAATAAACAATTATAACAATATACTATAATGAAAGTTATATGAAGGTGGTCTCTCTCGCTCTTTCTCAAAATATTTTATTGTACTATATTCACTGATTTTCAGACCTCAGTTGACTGTGAGTAACTGAAACCATGCAAAGAAAAACCATGAATTAGGGGGAACTACTGTATATCAAAACATCACATAGTACACCTTAAATATACACAATTTTAATTTGTCAATTGTACCTCAGGAAAGCTGAGCAGAAAAGAAATAAATTCAACAGGGCTGAAAATTAATCAAGTGCATATGATTCATTCTTTTAGACAGCGCAGAAAATTCGATAACTGACTTAAAGCACATTAACAGGTTTTAAAGTAATCCCAGCTACAAATTATTGACTGCCCGCTCTGCGCCAGGTGCTGTGAAAGTTGCTTTAGATGGATTACCTCATTTGATCCCCACTAAAACCCTGTGTGGTGAATATATAGTAAAGTATAATTTATGATTTTTAGATGAGGAAGTTGAGGTTCAGAAATATCTCACAGCTATACACCATTCTGGGAAGGAGGAAAATGGGGAGCAGAGAAGAAGGGAGGAAACCAAAGTCAATATTTATAAATTGTTTACTGTTTGTAAGTATTACTGTAAGAATTTTAAATACTTTGGGTTCATTTCAGCCTCACAACAACCTATATGGTAGAGGGAATGGCAAGTAAATGAACTTAAAGAGGTTGCCAAAGCTTAGAAGTGAGGGAAAAACTGTGGGTTTCCAAAGAAATCTCTCAGAATTCAGAAATGAACTAACTATGGAGTTATGTGAGGGTAAGATCAGTCTAAGTCAATGCTAAAATAATACAAAATAACTCTGACTGCCTTCTAAGACATTTCTGAAGAGTTCCTCTGACCTTGAATGGAGGAAAACAGAACCATCCTCCCCTCCCCACATCTCCTACAGTCCACCCCCAGGAGAGGGAAAGGCCCCAACGAGGTGGCACTGGCTTGAAGCTCCTCCTCTGTGTCATAAGGGATGGGATCACATGACCCTGAATTCCTTCCAGAATTAAACATCAATGTTTTCAAGCACATGATAGAGTCTGGCAGGTAAAGGGACTGCAATGAGTGCTTATTACATAAGGAATTCAACTGAGATTTTAAAAGACCCCAATGAAGAGTATGTGAAAAATGGTCAATTGTCACAAATCACTTCCTTGTCTTGAAGGGGCTTTGTTCTGCAGAGTCTCCGCTTCCTTGCTTTACACAACTCCTGATATTCCAGTACAAAGTTGTGATCCAGGCCTCTCCTTGTCCTCATTCATGCATTCGTTCCACAAACAAAAAATTCTTCTCTGAAATGTATGTCATCCATTTTAGTGAACACTTAGAAGATGATCTTGAAATAATTGAGCATGCTAACAAACCAGGGAAAGGCCTGCTTAAGAACAATGAATGTTCATAATGCCTGAGGGAAGACAAGAAAATAGATTACTTATTCTTTATCATGGTTCTAATTAAGAATTTGGGTTCTTTGTTGTTGACTATGGAGAAATAAAACCCTCATACTCTGCTGGTGGAAGTTCTCATTACTTCTGGGAAATAACCTGGCAATTCTTATCATGAGCTTTAAAGTAAGTCAAGCCCTTGACTATGGAATTCTCCTTCTAAGGTTATAAACTTAGGAAAAGCACCAGAAAAGCAGGATGAGGGAAATAGTATCATGTTTTGCTCAAACTCTGGATTTATAGTGCCTGTACTATTCTAATGCTCACTTAGATGATCTACTTAACCTCTGTGCCTAAGTTTCCTCATCTGAAAAATGGAGATGACAATGGTCTCTGCATCACAAAGTTAACATCAAATGAGTTTAAAAGTGCAACATAATTTACATTTATTTTCTCTCTTTTTTTTTTTTTGAGACCGAGTCTCTCTCTTTCAACCAGGCTGGAGAGCACTGGTGCAATCTTGGCTCACTGCAACCTCCACTCGCAGGTTCAAGAGGTTCTCACGCCTCAGCCTCCTGAGTAGCTAGGATTACAGGCACACACCACCATGCTCTGCTCATATTTGTATTTTAGTAGAGACCATGTTTCACCATGTTGGCCAGGCTGGCCTTGAACTCCTGACCTTAAGTGACCTGCCTGCCTTGGTCTCCCAAAGTGCTGGGATTAAAGGCGTGACCCACCGCATCCAGCCTCTCATTTATTTCTCGTAAAAACTCCACAAGGAAGGCAAGAAAGATATTGGCCTGACATAGTCAATAGTAAGCATTCTCAATTAAATACAGTTTATTTTTATTAGTATCATGTATATTACAAAGATATAAAGATGTTCATTATATTATTTATTATAGTGAAAATGTGTCAAAAATTAATTGTTCAACAATAAGAGAACAGTTAAATAAATGATACTTTCATATGATAAAATAAGCAGATATTTAAAATGTTGATTTCAAAGAGAGGTTAACAAAATGGGAAAAATTCATCAAATAGTGTTGAGTGAAAAAGTAGGTGGAGAAGTTGCATGGACTGTATGATCCCAATTTTAACATGACATTGCAGTGGATACCGAATGCAGTCTTTGCCCAACTCCCCTTTGTGAAGTACCTGTCCCTCTCCAGCTGCTGGGAATATCACTGCTGATAGCACACAGCTGCATCCCCTATTGGGAATTGTCCTTGGCCCCAAAAAATAGAATCATCCAGAATTAGCCCCTCTAGGGGGCCAATGACTCACTGATGCAAGGATACAAAAGCCGGGCCAGTTACTTTACTTTGGGTCAATTCTAAAGGGCCGTCCCAGCTCCACAGCTCCCTCCATGATTGGCTGAGTCTCAGTTGCAACTGCATCTGGAGTCAGATTCTCCTCTGCACAGCGCGGTCCTTCCTTACTTTCTTACAAGGAGCATCTCCTGAAAGCATGCTCCCAGTAAGCATTCAGCAGGCAATTCTCAGAGTCTGTTTCCAGAGAACCCAATCTAAGGTATATTTAGATCAAAATATAATGAAGAGATGGAGCGTGGTAGATTTGGCGGGCAATGAAACTATTCTATGTCATACTTTGGTGGATACATGTCATTATACATTTGTCCAAACTCATGCTATATACAAGAATGAACCCCACTGTAAACTATGGACTTTGGATGATAATGTTATCTTGATGCAGGTTCATCAGTTGTAACAAATGTCTACTCTGGCAGGAAATGTTGATAATGGGGGAGGATCTGCACGTGTTAGGGAAGTGGGTATATGAGAACTCTCTGACCTGCTCAATTTTGCTGTGAACCTAAAACTGCTCTAAAAAATTAAGTATATTAAAAATATATATATTATGAGGGAATAGCTCTGAGTAAAGAAATTTCTGGATTTTCCAAATTCTGTATAAAAAGTATGTAGTACTTATTTTAAATGAATAAAATGACATTGTTTTAAAAGACGCAGAGTCCTCCCTGGACTGTTATAATTAATTAAGCCCATGAATGTCAATACATAGATTTTGTTTTATTTCTTTATCTCAAGCTGAGTTTTCTTTAAAAATATGCACATGTTTTCATTTAAATGGCATCACTCATAAGGAATGAGCCTAAATTAAATATATACACATACACTTCAGAGTATAAGTGTCTCAACCTGGCCATCAGGTTCCTTAATGTTCATATCCTAATGATCTACTGCAGCTTAAAATCTGACTCCTTACTCTGGGAGAATTGTTTTCATATTCTGTGCTATTTACTAGTCACACAAGAAAATCAGCCTCATGGTTTTGTAATAGTACTGTGGTGATTTATTTTTTTAAATCTTGCCCATTTTCCCACTCATCTCATTGTCCACTCAGTTAGATTCTGAAAACTACTGAAAGTTTCAAAAGATCCAATTCTTCCTCAAAAAAGATTAAGATTTTTCTTCATTGAGGATATTCAAAAACGTGCCAGAGATTTTGACAGTAGTTTCAGAAGAGGAGGCCTAAGACATCTGGAGTGATGACACATTGTTGGAGTATGAGCTCAGCCACCTACAGTAGCTGCTTGGAGAACACAATGCTTTGAATGGATTGGCTTTGGGTGTTTCTTCAAAGTTAAATCCACCATGGAACTTCAGCTTAGATTTTAAAATAATATAACTTTAGAAGTAACTATTTGAGTCAGACTTTCCACTTGTAGGTACAGAACATCTCCTCCTATGGATAAATGGCAAATTATTGTTACGAGATCAGAAAAAGCCGTCAAGATCTAAGGAAGCTGGAGGTGAACGAAAGAAGCCTGTGGAAATCTTCCACTCAAATAGTATATACTGCTCTCAGAGAAGTTATTATAACTATCGATAAAGGGGGAAAGAACAGACAAAGATTTTGGCTTTATATTTTTTGTATCATCAGTCTTGCCTTTGTGAGGATATACAATGTTCTTGCATCAGCAGCAGTTGGATTTTTTTCCCCACTGGAAACATCAAGTACAGCCTGTGATATAGGGTATCCAGGTAAAAGATTTTCGTATTTGGAGAGGAAATACTGCATGAAGTCCAGGGAAATAGCATGTTTTTATAACGGTAGTCTTTCTAGTAATCCCAATTCTGGGAGACTAACTCAAGAAAATAAGCAGAAATGTAGGAAAAACTTCATGCACAAGGATATCAATCATAATGCTATTATTTATGTATAAATATTCTCACAACAGTGAGAATAAGCTAAATGCTCCATACTAGGCAAATGGTTTGAGTAAACTCTGCTGCGTCAACTCACTGATGTTTCTGAAGATTTTATAATAATAAGGAAAAATAGTCATAGTGTTGAATGAACAATACCGGATATACAGTTCTATGTCTGATGTAATGCTAATCGCACACACACACACGCACACGCCAAGTAAGCATTAAAAAATAACTAGAAGGAAAAACAACAGAATGTCACCAACCAGGGGATGTCTTAGTGAAGTTTTATGTATTTTTTTCCCTTTCTTCTACTAGTCTGTATGTTACTCATTTCTTTCAATGAAATAGAAATTATAAACCTTATATTATAAAAATAAAAAGAGGAGGAGGGGCTGGGCACAGTGGCTCATTCCTATAATCCCAGCACTTTGGGAGGCCGAGGCGGGTGGATCACCTGAGGTCGGGAGCTCGAGACCAGCCCGACCAACATGGAGAAACCCCGTCTCTACTAAAAATACAAAATTAGCTGGGCATGGTGGTGCATGCCTGTAATCCCAGCTACTCGGGAGCTGAGGCAGGAGAACTGCTTGAACCTGGGAGGCAGAGGTTGCCGTGAGCCAAGGTCACGCCATTGCACTCCAGCCTGGGCAACAAGAGTGAAACTCCATCTCAAAAAAAAAAAGAGAGAAGAGGCGGAAGAGAATGGCTATACCTTCACCCTGGTTACTGAGGTGATTAGGGAAAATAAATGGAAGGAGCCTTGATGGATCATTGAAATCAGCCACCAGGTTGCTGATATAGAAAACAAGCAATGTAAGAAACTGACCAAAAAGAACATGTTAAAATAAGAGTGAAAGAGTAGGCACTGTAAGAATTTGCATTAGGAAAGTATTTTGAAATGCTCCTCAGTGTGGTTTTATCATGTTTCTTTTCACTCAGACCTTTCTTCCATTCAGTGAGCTGTGCATTCAGAACCACTTGTTCAAAAAGAAAGGAAAACCTAAGACCCTATCTCAAAATGAGACCCTGTCTTAGAAAGGAAAACCACAATTCTGTTCTTGGCCTGGGTTTTAGAGCCCAAAGCTAGTGAGGAGTAGAAGAATTTGGGACATAAATTGAGAGAAAGTCTAGCTGACCCTCCATATTAGAAAACATTGCCCAGACTAGGATGAAAGGGAGACGTGGAAAGCAAGCTAAGAGAGCTGGACACCGGTGGATCCCCGACAGTGGGTCCTGCAGCCTGGCCCAACCCACTGACCTTGTGGGAATGGGAAGGGAAATGCCTCAAACCCCATGCAGGCTTGATGATATGTGTGCCCCTTTCTCCAGGTAAAGTCATGGAGGCTGCAAGATGTCATAGGAGAAAATGTGGCCATGTGAGATCTAAGCAGCCCAAAGCAATTAAGTTTCCCCATGCCAAAATGATGCAGAAGAGAGGCTGGATTCCTGTATGCCTAAGAGCACTCACGAGGAGTGAATTCTACCAGTACTCAGCTACCCAGCCACCCAGCAGGACATGGAGGGACAGAATACCTTTTATGCTCCCAAGGGCCCACTGATAAGCCTAGGGCCTTATCAGCCTTAGTAAGTTCCTGTGTCCAAGGAACTGCATCCAAGAGAGACACAGAAGTAGCAGAAAGAGCCAGCCAGCTTTGAAAGAGCTCTGAGATGAGAACGAAATGTCCCTAGCAATGATCTCTGTTGCCTGAGGACCAGGAACCAGGCCGAATGATGGTCATCTCAGGGGCTTCCATACGTAAGCCCCCAGGAAATGCAAGGTAATCATGGGAAGAGGTGGTGCTTAACTGACTGAAATTTAATTTCCAATACTCAAAGGAATGGGAGTGCAAATGAGAGGTTAGCTATTTCATTGATACTAAAATGCCATCGATTGTAAAATACATCATTAATTTGTGTGCCACCAAGAAAGAAAGATGCCCCCAATTAATCTATGAAACAATGCTTTCTCTTTGTTTCAAATTTTTATTTTATACTTGCTGGAGAAGCCCTTTAAGACTTGTTGGGACGTAGACTTTTATTACATGTCACTCTTGTACACATAAAAAAGAAAATAAATGTATTAAGAAATTCCTAAACATATCTCTTCATTCAGAGTCTAACTCTTCCACATCACTGTTTATATTTTTCTCCTCACTATTTTTCTCTGTTGGTGATGAAACATTTCTTACTAGTATCCTCACTCTTGACTCCAGGTTTTCTTCCAAGATGTTGTCACCCATTGTTAAAGGTTTAATGTGAGCCAGGCGCAGTGGCTCATGCCTGTAATCCCAGCACTTTGGGAGGCCGAGGCAGGCGGATCATGAGGTCAGGAGATCGAGACCACGGTGAAACCCCGTCTCTACTAAAAATACAAAAAATTAGCCAGGTGCGGTGGCGGGCGCCTGTAGTCCCAGCTACTCAGGAGGCTGAGGCAGGAGAATGGCGTGAACCCGGGAAGCGGAGCTTCCAGTGAGCTGAGATTGTGCCACTGCACTCCAGCCTGGGCGACAGAGGGAGACTCCGTCTCAAAGAAAAAAAAAAACAAAAAAAACAAAAAGGTTTAATGTGAGTGCGCTCTTGCTTGGCATGTACTAACATGCAATGCTTTTTAACATAACTCTGTATCGCAGTTTCGTATACTTATAGTAATTTAATTCTCTTACTCTGTATGACACTGTAGCTTTGAAGTGATTCTTATAATTTTTTTTTGCTTTACTATATTTACACTCCACTACTGTTTCTGAGCCTTTCTGTTCATTATAAGTTTTCATTTCATTGCTGAAACTCAGGATAATCTTTTTGAAAATATTGCAAACAGCAACTAAACTCTGCCTGGGTAATACCAACAGTGCATATTATTCAACTAAAGAGGTAACAATATCTAAATACCTATGACCATGTTCACACACATACAGACAATGGCAAATAAATCAGCACTGCCACCCAGCAAATAGCAATTCAAACATGCCATCAATTATTAGATCCACATTTCAGAGATGTTAGCATACAAAAAGGCATGTATTGGAATTAATAAAATATGGTAATTTGAGTTAAAGGAAAATGTAAAGTACATTTTTTACACACCTGAACTTATAGAACAAAGTTATACCCATTACACTGGTGTAAGGCCCTCCCCATACAGCAAAGAGAGACTATCACTTGCATTTTAAATGCATCCAGTTAAGAGTTTCATTAGCAGGCTGGCCACAGGATAAGGTCCAAAGTCCTTAGTCTAATATGATCTCATGATCTCTGGCTGGAATAGGTTAAGCAGGAACAGGATCCCTGAGCTGCTGACATGAAAAGGAAGGTTATATGGCTTCACACAGGAAGTGTCACAGCATGCATTTTTCTGTCTCATCAAAGAAGACATTTTCAGCCTGGCCCTTAATCAGGTAGTGAGTCTTCCTGACGAAGAGCAGACTATAAACTTGCTTTCACCATGTGGCTGCAGCACAGTCTTTAAAAATGTATTTTCATATATATATAAAAGTTTTTATATTAAAAAATGTACATATACAGGTAAAGAGAGGATAGACATGTGCCTAACAGCTTAGGCTTCTAGTCCAACCAATATGTATTTGAGTCCCAGATCTGCACTTATTTATTGTATGACAAGTTGTTTAATTTCTGTGTGGCAGAGACTGGCTAGATACTCACCAAAATTGTTTCCTCTTCTCCTAGGTGTATAAGAAGATTATATTTCCCAGCCCCCTTGCATTTCAACAAAGGCATGTAATTGATTCCTGGCCAATAAAATTTGAGCAGAAGGAATACACTACTTCTAGGCCTGGGTTCTAAACCCTTTTGTATGATCTCCACTTCCTCTCTCCTTTGTCTTGTCAGTGCCACCAGATTCAGAGGACCTAAGGGAGGATTCTGAGACCCATATGAAAGGAGCCTGAATCCGTGAATAACTATGTGGAGTAGACACCCTTGACCACTAAGGTACATGGACATGAGCAATAAAATAAGGCTTTGTGTGTTACAGTAGTTATCACACTCTATTTAATACATGCTGTATACCTCAGCTTCTTCACCTGTGGAAAATATTAAGTTAATTACTCAAAGGAGTAGCACAATGCCTTTTACATAGTAAGTACTAAATAGTAGAAGCTATGTTACTATTGCTGTAGATATCATCCTTGTTATTACTGAGGCAAAGAACTCAGGTATAGATGTTGAACAAGCAGGCAGTTTTTTGCGCATATATTAGAGGGAAGTAAAACTTTTCTAAATATCAACTGGTGCAGACTTATGTAAAGTGAAATTTGAGCAATCACATTTCAGACACCAAGAATCATCCGCAAATAGTAAGTAATAAAGACCCTGAAAGAAGGAAGTGACTGATTCCTGAGCAGGCAGCGTAGGTTAAGGACAAGTGTCGGTTAAGGACCAGCATCAGAGTCAGAAGGAGGTCAGCAGAAGCTGGGAGAAGAGGAATCCAGATCAGGCCAGAACAGAAACTGCTCCCCAGGGCCACACTGGGCAATGTTTCTCAACAGTGCTCCAGGGAAGAGGAAGTAGTTGTCATCATCAAAATTCTACCCCCTGAACATAGAATGGTTAAATTAAAATAGAATTAAATACATGTAGTTCTTATTGTTTCCATAAAATTATCAGAGACCATCCTGGTAACTGCTATAGAGACATCCCCCACCTGCCATTTGGATTTGATTCTCGTAAATAAAATGAATCCTTCTTGTCAAACATTGCTTTAACAAGCTTTATTTCTTTTGTGATTTTTTGTTGTTGTTGTTGTTTGTTTGTTTTTGTTTTTGTTTTTGTTTTGTTTTTGAGACAAAGTCTTGCTCTTGTCCCCAAGGCTGTAGTGCAATGGCACTATCTCGGCTCACTGCAACCTCCGTCTCCCAGGTTCAAGTGATTCTCCTGCCTCAGCCTGCCAAGTAGCTGGGATTACAGGCGCCCGCCACCACGCCCAGCTAATTTTTGTATTTTTAGTAGAGATGAGGTTTCACCATGTTGGCCAGGCTGGTCTCGAACTCCTGACCTCAGGTGATCTGCCTGCCTCAGCTTCCCAAAGTGCTGGGATTACAGGCGTGAGCCACCGTGCCCGGCCACAAGCTTTATTTCCTTTTTTTTTTTTTTTGAGACGGAGTCTGGCTCTGTCGCCCAGTCTGGAGTGCAGTGGCGCAATCTAGGCTCACTGCAAGCTCCACTTCCCAGGTTCACACCATTCTCCTGCCTCAGCCTCCCTAGTAGCTGGGACTACAGGTGCCCACCACCACGCCCAGCTAATTTTTTGTATTTTCAGTAGAGACAGGGTTTCGCCGTGTTAGCCAGGATGGTCTCGATCTCCTGACCTCATGATCCTCCCGCCTCAGCCTCCCAAAGTGCTGGGACTACAGGAGTGAGCCACCGCGCCCGGCCCACAAGCTTTATTTCTAATTGTGTGTGCAACACATTCTACTGGCATTTGAGACTTTGCCAAGTCAATCTTGTCAGTTGTTTATTCATTCACTCATTCATTCATTCAAACATTTATTGAGCACCTACTCTGTGCCAAGCACTGTGTTACCAGATATATAGCAGCAGCAAAACAAATACAGCTTCTGCCCTCATTGTTCTTAATAGGGGGCAGGGGAGACAGACCAGAAAAAGGTAAACAAATAACAAATAAAGGTATAATTACATATGTAGGAAAGTAATCTGAATGTGAAAAAAAATGAAATCATTAAGTTTCTGATAGAGAAGAACAAGAGGGACTGGATTTAGAGAGAGCACGTGGGGAACCCCGCCTGAGGAGATGATGTTTAAGCATAAATATGAAGAAACAGGAGTTGACCAGGGGTAAAGTACTCCAAACCATAAAGAAGGATCTTGGGCAAGGCAAGAAGCATTTCAACAATTGCAAAGAAGCTACTGTAATTGGAGCCCAAGAGTGAGCAAAGGTGAATGCGGTGCAAGATGGGATTGGAAAGGTAAGGAAGTACTAGACTGTGCAGGGTCACAAACAAAGCTGGGGTCTAAGCCAAAGACATAGTTGGGGTCCTTTCCAAGTGCAACAAAAACCACAGGAGGGTTTTAAGTGGATGCTGTCATATGATCTGGCTTACAATGTTTAAAGTTCATTCAAGATTGCCAAGTGGAGAACTGGCTAAAGGAGACAAGAGAAGAAGCAAGCAGACCCATTAGGAGGAGGCTGTTTCCATTCTCAAGCACACGCTGGTGGCAAGCTGGATGAGCAAGGGGCAGAGATAGTGACAGAAAGGACATAGTGAGAGATATTTTGGAGGTAAATACTTCAGAACTTGCAGATGTGAGAGTGAGGGCAACAGAAGGATGAATGTCAACCCTCAGATTTTCTGTTTAACCAGCTGGGCATATAAATGTGAATTTTACTGAGATGGGAAAAGATGGAGAATAAAGTGGATTAGGGAACAGAGAAATCAGAAATTCCATTTTGGACTTGTTACTTGGGAGCTATCAAGGAAGCCTGGTGTCCCAGCACTTCTTTCTGAGCTTTCTTCCCATTCTTCCCTAACAATAACTCTCTGATAATCAATTTGGACTTTTTCCTGTCCCCCAAAGGCCTCCAACAGTAGGAAAAATCTTTCTCTCTGCATGATTTTACTCCCTATTTTCTACCTACCAAAATCGTATTGATCTACTCCCACCCTGCATTTACCATCAAGTTATTTATATCATTCATTTGAAGCGCCACATGACAGTAATGAATGGGAGTTACGAGTAAAAACTTTGGATTCACTCACATCTGGGTTTTAACCCTGGCTCTGCTATTTGCTGGTTGTATGATAAATTGAGCAAACCATTTAACCTCTTTGAGCCTCAGTTTATTATCTGTAAAATGACATAGTCAACCCACCATGGCAGACACTGCTATTTATGTTCCCAATGTAAGTTCTCTCCTCATTTTTCCTTCTTATAGAGCCCCAGTTTTGTTCAGGGTAACAATGTGCCCAGCTAAAATGCTCAAGCAACTGGCTTCCTTAAAGCTGATGGTAGCCTACTGACATTGTTCTGGCTAATAGTATATAAGAGGAAGTATTCTTGAATTTCTGGGAAAACATTCCTTTTCTTATATAAGTGCCCCACGCCCGTTACACCATCCTTCATCCTGCTTTACACACAGATGTGATGCTTGAATGGGCAGCAACTATGACTGTGGAGCTAAGGGCTGTAGAGCAGAAATATGGAGGAGACTGTGTCCCAGGTGGTCCTAACCAGGGCAACAAACTCTAGGCTTTTTGTAGCATGATATAAATAACCTCCTTACTTGTTTAAGCCAGTATATATTTTTTTGGCTTTTCTGTTGCCAGTCAGCAAATACATTTTAACAAACCCATCTACTTCATGGGCTGATTTGGTAAGTATTAAATAAGCAATGTCTATACAACGCTCAGTAGCTGCTGAGAATTATTATGCTACTCTTACCTTGCTATTTAAATCATTTTGGTATATATGTGCCTTGTTCCCTCAATAGACTGTTACATGACCTCAAGACAGAGATTTCTGTAGCGTTTGGTAATCCCTTCCCACACATAATGGGTGCTCAACAAATCCATTGACAAGGTGGCCACCCTTTCCTTTTCTGGAGAATATCAGCCCAAATTTTCTTTATCGTCCTCTTTTCTCCATCTATTGCTTTAGTTTTCATCAGCAGTGCCAGCTTCAAAGAGATGTTTTTCTGTAATCTTTTTAAAAAAATAAACGTTTTTATGTATATTTAAGGTATATAACATGTTAAGGGATATACAGAGATAGTAAAAAGGTTATTATAGTGAAAACAAATTAACATAGTCGTCATTTCACATAGTTACCCATGGCAAGAGCAGCTAAAATCTACTCATTTACAGTGAATTCTATACACAGCACAATTTAATTACCTAAGATCTTCATGTTGTAGATGAGATTTCTAGACTCGTTCATCCTACATATCTACCACTTTCTATCCTCTGACCCACATGTCCCCATTTCGTCTTCACTCTCTACCCCTGCCTCAGTAATCACTGTTTTGTTCTCTGTCTCTAAATATTTTCAATGTATTTACTTTATTTATTTATTTTTTTTGAGACAGAGTCTCACTTTGTCACCCAGGCTGGAATGTAGTGACATGATCATGACTCACAGCAGCCTCGACCTCCTGGACTCAAGCTATCCTCCCACCTCAGCCTCCTCAGTAGTTGGGACTACAGGTGGGTGCCATCATGCCTGGCTATCTTTTAAATTTGTTTTGTAGAGATAGGATCTCACTATGTTACCCAGGCTGGTCTCAAGTGATTCTCCCACCTCAGCCACCCAAAGTGCTGGGATTACAGGCATGAGTCACAGGGCCCAACAGTGAATTTGTTTTTAGATTCCACATGTGACAGCATATTCTACATGTGAGGTCATATTCCACATATGAGATCATGCAGTATTTGTATTTCTGTGTCTGGCTTATTTCACTTAGTATAATATCCTCCACGCTCATCCATGTTGTGGCAAATGGCAAGATCTTGCTCTTTTTTAGGGCTGAATAATATTCCATTGTATATACACACCACAGTTTCTTTATCCATTTGTCCACTGATTGACACTTAGGTTGTTTCCATATCTTGGCTATTGTAAATAATTCTGCAGTGAACATGGGGGTGAAGATATCTTAAAAAGGTGGTGATTTCATTATCTCTGGGTTTATGCCCAAAAGAGGGACAGCTAGATCAAATGGTAGTTCTATTTTTTCCTACAGTCTTATTTTTTTGTAAGATTTACCCCAGTGGCCTCTCATGCAGGCCTGATCTTTCCAAAAAAACTAGAGAATGGTTTGGGAATAATCTCAGTAACTGTCATTTCTCACACACTAGTCTTTGATGGTGGTTCAGACATTGTGGAATGGTCTTTAGGATTTTCACCTCTTTAGTAGAGCTGCCTATGGCTTCTTTCTTTCTTCACCCACTCTCTTAAAGTAAAAAAAACATGAGTCAGAGTCATCACTAAAGAGAAAAGTCAAACAGTATTAATGCTCTAGAGACATCAAAAGTATTATGAAAAGGAAGTGTTTGAGTGGAAAATATCCACCTATGGAAATAAAACTGCCAGCATCTGAGCGTAAGTATGAAACCCAGTTAATGGATGTGAGAAATGGTGAGAAGCTCTTTACCATGGAGTCAAGTCTCTGGCAAATGATCTTGGATGAATCCAGTTTGCACTGGGATTTGAAACTTTCCATGCTCTTGTATTTCATCAGCTGCTTTGAGTTACTTTTAAAGAAACACATTTTTAATGAGAAATTTTTGACAGAGAATAAATGCAGATGTAATTCTTTGGAACAATTGTTTCCTTTGTTGATGGATTTTTTTTCCACAGTGCCCACTCACAATTAAATAAAACAGTAATTAAAACCCTAAATCCACTCAAAATTATTGTTTCATCAGTCACCTCCAGAGATCCTTCTAATGTCTTTGTGGAAAGAATGTCTTAACAGAGATGCAATGTGCTAAGACACAAAGCCTTAGATTTTTCAAACTTGGAGTAATAAATTCTAAATACGCAAGAACTTTTTAAGTGACTAGAAAATTATTACAATGAAATAAAAACCCAAGGCTATACGCCATAGGATAGCTTAATCCCCTTGGGAAAAAAAAAAGACTGTTTTTTTTTTTTTGAGATTTTTATACAAATTACAAAAACATTGAAAAATTTAGTGATATATATGTTACAGACATAGACCAATACACTTCTCTTCATGCAGACATGAAACTCAGCCTAATTTAGCCATGACATAGTGCATCTTTCTGGGTATCTCCCTAATGGAGACAGGGTGTATTTAAATCTGATGTTCACTCATCAATTGAGTCTTTGAAGCTTCTTAAACTGATTCAAGAATGAGTTCTCCTCCCCTATTTCTTCCTCCTCCTCACTTCCTTCTCCTTCTCTGGCATTCTCCACTTTCCTAAAAGTACCATTATCCTGCCAACAACACAAGCAGGCAACTTCCAAGGGTAACACAGACTGCTTCTTTTCAAGGCCTACTTGAGCCATTTCTCTGTAATTTAATTTCTTTTTCATCTGCTCTCTTCCTGTTCTCCTTTTATTAAAACTACATTATTATTGTTATTATTATTATTGATTGAAATGGGGTTTCCCTTGTCACCCAGGCTGGAGTGCAGTGGTGAGAACATAGCTCACTGCAGCCTCAACTTCCTGGACTGAAGCCATTCTCCCGCCTCAGCCTCCCATGTAGCTGGGACTTCAGGCACATGCCATCACTCTCAGCTAATTAAAAAAAATTATTTGTAGAGATGGGGGTCTCACAGCATTGACCAGGCTCGCCTCAGACTCCTGGACTCAAGGGAACCTCTCACCTTAGCCTTCTAAAGTGTTGGGATTACAGGCATGAGCCACCACACCCAGCCTATTTTCTTATCTTGCGCCAGATCTCCCAATGTCCACTCCTTCCTCACTCTAATCCTCACAACACAGTGTTTCCAAGTTAATATTCCTAAAGGCAGCTAATGAATCACTCCCTCCCTCACTCATGAAACTCTGATACTCACTTTGCCTGCCTAGAGGCCATTACAGGGGTTAAGCCGCAATTTACTTTTTTGGTTTAACATGCGTCTTCCTCCATTTGTGTACCCTTAGCCCCACAGCTAAACTGAATTGTCCTTAGTTTTCCACACATAGTGGCCTCGACCCTCTCCAGATCTTCACTCATGCTATTTTCTCCACAAGGGATGCCACTGCTCTCAAGTCAGCATATCTAAATCCTATCCACCCTTCAATTCCCAATTCAAGAAAAGAATACCCTATGAATTGGGCCTTGAAGGATGGCTGCAGGTTCATAAGAATCCTAGAGTGTTCAGAAAATTTCTAGAGCTGATGTCTATCACATTCAAGCTTTCTCTTTCTGCACTCAGCTGATTTCAGACATTTCTCTAAAATGCTCATTTCCTACTATTAATTCTTACCTTTTTTTCCCCTTTGATCTTTTGTTTACTGAGCAAATGAACTGAGAAGTGAGTATCGCTCATATAAAGAGTTCTGGAGGTGCAAGTGGATATGTCAGAGACAGTCTACCCAGCATCATTTGTAAATTACCAATCACTCACATCTTGAAAGCATTAGTTAAAACCTTCTTGAGGTGATGGAAGATAGTCATGCCTCTTGAGTAGGAGTGTGAAGAGATCTCAGCCCTGCCAGTAAACCCTAAATCCTCAAGCTCTGGGCATTCCCATCCTGCACCAAGAAATTCACACTCCAATTCTATAAGGTTTCCTATGATGAGGAAAACAAATTAAAAGTAACTGGCTGGCACTAAAGACAGAGTTTTAAAGTTTCCACTGCCTGCCTAAATGTGGATTTCCCACATTGCCCATATCTTAGGCCAGGTCTTTTGATTGCAAGAACACTCAAGTTGACACATACAAAGGATTAATATTATGAGAATACATAGGAATCTCATAGATTCCCAAAGACGGTAAACTATAATACATCCTGGTGCCTCATGAGAACTGGAGCTTGGGAAGCAATAGGAACCATGGCCACTTAATGTGTAGGACTTCTCTGCTTTTCTCAGCACATCTGTTTTCTTCTCTTTCTTACCATCCACTGTCCTCTGCTTTCTCAGTCTTTTCTCCCTCAAAACTTTAACTTGTACTTGGTCTCTTAAGATCCAGCCTGCCCCAACTTCACCTGTGATACCTAACTGGCTTAGTCTCTCAGTGTTCCAATTCTTCCTTGCTGAGAGAGCAATGTGATTCGTTTAAAAGCATTTGGGGGTCCAGGTACGGTGGCTCATGCCTGTAATCCCAACACTTTGGAAGGCTGAGATGGGCAGATCACTTGAGGTCAGGAGTTCAAGACTAGCCTGGCCAACATGGCAAAATGCTGTCCCTACTAAAAATACAAAAATTAGCCTGGCATGGTGGCACATGCCTGTAATCCCAGCTACTCAGGAGGCTGAGGCACAAGAATTGCTTGAACCGGGGAGGTGGAGGTTGCAGTGAGCTGAGATCATGCCACTACACTCCAGCCTGGGTGACAGACCAAGACTCTGCCTCTAAAATAAAAATAATAGAATAAATAAAAGCATTTGGAGGAAGGTCACTAGCCTATGGTTGGGTCACCCTTAAGTTAGCTTGTTATGTATATGTGTGAATAGGGGCAGTAGGAATGGGGATAAATACCATAACTATGACCACTCACTGTGAGCAGCTTTTCCTCTCAGAAGGGAGCTGTGGTTAGGGCAGGCTGTGAGACTCTTCACTGGTTCAAGTGGCAAAGGTGCTGGAGGTCTTGAGTGTGGCAGCCCGGAAGTCTTATCAGAGTTTCCTAGATCTACCTCCATGGAATATACTGTTGGGTAGCAAGAACATCCTGAATACTCTCTCACAATTTGGGAAACTAGCCTACTAGGCTCATCTCTAGGGCCTAGTTTTTAGGCCATTGTCTTATCCTGTAGTTAAATACTAAGAAAGACATTTGCAATCATGCA
This sequence comes from Homo sapiens, assembly GCF_000001405.40. Classification (NCBI taxonomy): domain Eukaryota; kingdom Metazoa; phylum Chordata; class Mammalia; order Primates; family Hominidae; genus Homo; species Homo sapiens. Next base: position 235,447 of record NW_013171807.1, on the reverse strand, counting down.
CTAATGGAAAGATGGCTCAACTTCCATGACTGCTACATACTTAAAAAAGAGAGAGAGAGAGGTAGAGAGAGTTTCCCACACATAATTCATTAGCCTTGTGTTTAGTTAGAAAGGTTCAGGATGTTCCTTGTGGAAATTGTGAGCATAGGCGTCAACTGGGCACATTCATCAAACAGTATCCACAAAAAAAGCATTTGCCCATGGCCATCGAAAATCCTGAGACTTAGTTCTAAGAGTTTAAGCTTTAAAGAAAATTGCCAAGTATGGTGTATTTCAGAATCAAATCCCCTACTCAAAAAGCAAACACACGCTATGGGGAGGGAGTACAGAAGCTACATCAGAGAGAATCTTCATTAATTCTTCCCCTGCATCCCTTTTTGGCATTTTGAACTGGCAAAGAGAAAACCTGTGATGTCTGTGCCTGGTTATTTCATCGATAAAGAGCCAGGGTCATGGTTTCTATCCTGTTACCCAATTGGCTTCGTTTTGTCCAATGGCTACAGCATGTACCTTGCACTCTAGCCAGAAAGCTGACTCTCTGCAGGGCCTTGTTTTATTTGGGGATGGACTGGGATTTTGGAGAGTGATGAAAATTTTTTTAACATGATGGGAAAGACAAAAAAAATAAACAACTAGAAAAGCACACTTCTGTCTATCCATTTTGCCATCTTCACTGGCTGAAGACACCCTTTTGCTTGTCAGGGTCTTGCTGTTCATCCTGCACTGCAAAGACAATAGGGTGATGATGAAAGAAAACCATGGAGAAAAGGATGACGGTGATCTCCCTCAATTAGGAAATCTATTTATTTTAATAAGTCAAGGGGGGTGAAGGAAGACCTTCTGAATAAAGGTCAAAAAGGAATTTGATAATAATTCAACAGCAATACATAGTTTTTTAAAAATTACTTAGTAACCTAGAAGTAAAGGGAACAAAGATATAACTCAAATGAGATAAAAAATGTCTACAAAACCAGCAGCAAATATTCTATACATGTACAAAATTGAGCCCTATTAACTTTAGTAATAAGGATACCCTCTGTCCCCATACACATTCAACATGGTCTGAAATCTCTAGCCAATAAAATAAGATCATGGAAAGGAAAAAAAAAGATATCCTTTTTGGAAAAGAGATACAAATTTTTATTGTTGTTTTGTTTTGAGACAGTGTCTCACTCTGTCACCCAGGTTGGATGTAGTGGCGTGATCTCGGCTCACTGCAGCCTTGACCTCCCAGGCTCAAGCCATCCTCTCATCTCAGCCTCCCAAGTAGCTGGGACTACAGGTGCATGCCATCACACTCAGCTAATTTTGTTCATTTTTTTGTAGAGACAGGATCTTACTATGTTGCCTAGGCTCAAAGTCTTGGGCTCAAGGGATCCCCCTGCCTTGGCCTCTCAAAGTGCTGGGATTACAGGTGTGAGCCATTGCACCGAGCCTAAAGTTGCTTTTATATAATATCATTCCCTTTCTAAAACACTCAGAACAATTAATACAAAACTATTAGTCCAAAAAAAGATAATTTAATGGGGCAGAAAGTTATAAAACAGGCATAAAATTTTTCTTAAATACAGCAGCAACTATACTGGAATTGGTTCAAGATAATAGACTGAACACAGATGACCGCTGATCCTCCCATCCAAATATTTTTAATATTACAAGGATAAGCCCAACAAGCCCTGGAAAATAGGAGAAAGTCTCATCAGTGACTAGAAATCATGAGTAATTGTTTGAAAATAGAAACATATGCAAGAGAAAAATACTATAAAGACTAGAAGAGCACACAACAACCTCAATTGAGATTGAATAGACACAAGGACTGGAAGGTGCCTTGGGTCAATCAACTTGTGATTAATACTTCATAAGCAAATTTCACTAATGAGCTCATACAAATAGACTATTTGAAAAACTGAATCCAGCAGATTATTAAGAGAATAAAATGTTATGACAAAGTAGAATTTACTCTGTGTATTCTAAGTAAAATATGTAGAATTTATTTTATGTATTCTATGTAGAATACAGGTAGAATATTCCTGTACAGGTAGAATACAGGTAGAATAACAATAACAGATCAAAGTAAATGATATACAAATTTCAATAGTGCTTAAAAGCACTTGGTAAATTTCAATACACATTTCAATTTTAAAAGGAAAGAAACTTAGAAAAGGAATAAGAGGACATTTCTTTAACTTAACAAAAGTTGGAAGGGAATATAGTAGAAGCCTATAGAAAGCACCATTTTAATGCCAAAACATTTTAAAATTCCCATTAAAGTAAAAGATATGGTCCAGGCACAGTGGTTCACACCAGTAATCTCAGCACTTTGGGAGACTGAGGTGGGAAGATTGATTGAGGCCGGGAGCTGGAGATCAGCCTGGGCAACATAGTGAGACCCTGACTCTACGAAAATAAAAAATTTACTGGGCATGGTGGTGCACACCTGTAGTCCATGCTACTTGGGGGGCTGAGGTGGGAGGATCTCCTGAGCCCAGGATGTTGAGGCTGCAGTGAGCTGTGATCCTGGTACTGCACTCCAGCCTGGGTAATAGAGTGAGACCCTGTCTCAAAAATAAACAAATAAATAATACAAAGCACCAGAAAACCTGCCATCCCTGCAATCGATAAATATTTTACTAGCCATGCTAACAAATTAAATAAGATAGGAAAAAACTTTTAATGAAATATGTATATGAGAAAGGAAAAGACGTGATGATTCTTTGAAGATAATATAATTGTCTACATAAAGTAACAAATTAGGGGAATAAACTAAGAAATTTCTGAAACTCATCTGAGAGTAAATATGGCTAGTACAAGACCACAAAATTTAATAGAATATCTAATTGTCTATAATAATCAGTTAGAAAGTTAAAAGAAAAAAGATACTGTACTATTCCTAAAGCAACAAACTTGGAATAAACCCAAGAAGAAACATTCAAGAATAATATGAATGACATAAAAGAAAATCTAAATAAATGAAATATACTGTTGTTTTAAATAGAAATTGTGGCGGGTGAAGCAACTTCACTTTGGATGCTACTTCACCAGGTTGGCTTCTGATTAACCCCAGTTCCAAGAGGGCTCTGAGAGTTCCAGTTTCTCTACATTGTCCCTTGCATAAAAGCAGGTACTTACTACTATAAATCCTGCCTGTAGGTCAAACAATCTTGATGTTCTCGTACTTCAATGGCGCTACACATCTCTTCCAAACCACCCCTCTCCTATGGTATATAAGCCCTGGGCCTCAGGGGTAATGGCACAAAGAACTCACCATCTCATCCTGCCCTGTCTGAGACCCAGACATGGCTTCTGTTCCTAAATCCCTGTTAAAGGTTTCTTTCTGAGAAACTAGATTTGTCAGCCTCTTTCTTCGGCCTCTCAGCTTCCTTGAACTTTAGGATAGGTTTGCATACATCTGCCCACTGCAAAACAGAAAATACATTTTTTAATCAAAATTCCAACACAAACTTTTCTGGAAGTTGACGAACTGCTTCTAAATTTTATATAAAAGAAAATGAGGGTTGGGCATGGTGACTCACATCATAATCCCAGCACTTTGGGAAGCCGAGACAGGAGGATCACTTGGGGCCAGGAGTTTGAGACCAGCCAGGGCACCACAGTGAGACCTCATCTCTACCTCTACCAAAAAAAATAAAAAATAAAAAAATTAGCTGGGCATGGTGGAGAATGCCTGTAGTCCTAGATGCTAGGGAGACTGGGGCAGGAGGACTGCTTGAACCCAGGAATTGGAGGCTGCAATGAGCTATGTTTGAGCACAACACTCCAGCCTGGGAGATAAAGCAAAATCCTGTCTCTAAAAATTAATGAATTAATTAATTAATTTTAATTTTTAAAAAGAAGATGAATGAGAGAAGCCAATAATTTTTTAAATAACAGTAAGGGAAAACTTTTTTTTTTTTTTTTTGAGATGGAGTCTTGCTCTGTCCCCCACGCTGGAGTCCAGTGGTGCAATCTTGGCTCACCACAATCTCTAACAAAAAGCCAAGGTTAAAATAGGTAGTATTAGCTAATGAATAAAGAGTTAGCCCACTGATACAAAATATTCAAAAATGCTACATGTCTATGGGAGCTTAAAAATTATAAAAGTAAGCCAAGCGTGGTGGCTTATGCCTGTAATCCCAGCACTTTGGGAGGCCAAGGCAGGCGGATCATGAGGTCAGGAGTTCGAGACCAGCCTGGCCAACATAGTGAAACCCCATCTCTACTAAAAATACAAAAAATTAGCCAGGCATGGTGGCAGATGCCTGTAATCCCAGCTACTCAGGAGACTGAGGCAGGGGAATCGCTTGAACCTGGGAGGTGGAGGTTGCAGTGAGCCGAGATCGCGCCATTGCACTCCAGCCCGGGCAACAGTGCGAGACGCTGTCTCAAAAAAAAAAAAAAAAAAAAAAGATTGTAAATAAAGTAGCATTTCATGGGGAAAGTATAGTTATGATATTATAAAAATGGATATTCATTAGATCACTACCTCGTGCCATACTAAAAATAAATTCCAGATTGATTAAAGAACAAAATATTTTAAAATAAAGTGTAAGGTTAAAATACAAAAAGTATTTTTTTAATCTTATAAATCTTTCATGTGGGTCAGAAAACCCAGAAGCCAAAACCAAAAATGATGGCATCAATTGTATAAAAATTTAAATATGTGTCTGATAAGCACCATAAAAATGTTAAAAGACAATCAACGGACTGAGAAAACATATAACCAACAATGCATAACTACTTACGATTCAGAAAAACTAATTACAAATAAGTAGGGAAAAGACAGGCAACTGCATTGAAAATAAGCAAAAAATTAGAGCAAGCAAGTCACACAAGAAATACAAATAGATGATTTGCTTTAAACATAAGATTTGCTTAACCTCACTAGAGTCAAAGAAATGCAACTTAAAACAGTAAAAATAACTTTTCCCTAAAATATAAAGAATAAAAAGATTAATAGCATCCAATATCAGCAAAGTTATAAAGAAACTTTATTACTAGAAGTAAAATTTAAAATCCCTGGCAAAATCCTTTTGCAGAGCAATTTGAAAGCATGTGACTAGCATTTCCACAATTTCGGAAAATACAAAGAAGCTTGTATAAAGATATTAATTGTAATTGAAGTATTTTATTTAATTGTAGTACATCTCTTTTATAAACTCAAGTCTGCTGACATCATAGGCACTTCTCTTTACCATTCCTCACTGCTAGGCCAGTGGGTTGATTTTTCAGCTTCTGTTGCTAAGAATTCAGTGTTCTAAGAGGCACAGAATATAACAACAGCAAAATTCATCACCTACTTCATTGCCCAGTCTCAGCAGCAGTTTGACTATTCTAAGGGTCAGCTCAGAGTGCCTGTGCTGACCGTGATGGCTTCAACATGAATGCTACTATGACCCAGTTGATAACAAGAAATTGGAAAGTGAAGATCCCCACTGTTTATTGAAATTTCTGCCTATGGATGCAACTCAATTCAAAAAGCATTTATGTAGACACTGCATGGAGTCAGGTTGCCGAGGATGCATGGATAAGCAAGACACAATTTGTGACCTCAAGGAATGTATGTCTTTGTTTTTGCTTTCTACTTAGATGCTTAGTGATAATTGTGATTCCCTGGGCAAAAGCTAGTTTTTCTAAACTAGTGTTTCTCAAAGTAAAGTGTCAGGACCAGCAGCATCAGCATCTCCTGGGAATGTGTTAGAAATGCTGATGCTCAGCCAGGCGCGGTGGCTCATGTCTGTAATCCCAGCACTTTGGGAGGCCGCAGTGGGCAGATCAGCTCAGGTCGGGAGTTCGAGACCAGCCTGGCCAACATGGCGAAACCCCGTCTCTACTAAAAATACAAAAATTAGCTGGGCGTGGTGGTGCGCGTCTGTAATCCTAGCTACTCGGGAGGCTGAGGCAGGGGAATCGCTTGAACCCAGGAGGTGAATATTGCAGTGAGCCGAGATCGCACCACTGCACTCCAGCCTTGGAGACAGAGTGAGACTCCATCTCAAAAAAAAAAAAAAAAAAAAGCTGATGCTCAGGCCCAAACCCAAACCTACTGAATCAGAATCTCTGAGGGGCAGTGGGGGATGATCCAGGTGATTCTGATACACAATTAAGTTTGAGAACCACTACTCACTACTCTATTGGAAGCATTTAAACAATGCCTAGATTTTTTTCCTTGCAAAAAATTTGTTTAAGATTACTTGTGAAAACAAAAGACACCACTGTATAATTTGTATATGGTATTTGAGTGGCACACATTTTGCACATATGGCTTCTGGAAGCATACCATTATTATGAAGCTACCCTATATGGAATGTTCCTTTCGTGGAACTTATTCATTTATTCCTTGATCAGTGCATGATTTATTTCTTGAGTTCCTATTTATCTGACATTATAGATAACATTGCAATGAACAACTTCATATCATATATATAAGGCTTTTTTCTGAATTAGTAACATGGGATAAATGTTCAGGCATGGGATAACTTCGTGGGGAAAAAGAAGAGGGGCATCTTTATTATTCATGCTGCATGTTGTCATGCTGCTTTCCAAACAGGTTTGTCCTCAAATGATGCCAGCTGCCCTGTGAGTGTAAGTTTTATCACCCACTTCCCCACATAGGGCATAATCATTCAATTTTGATATGATTATGTATAAAATGTTGCCTCGAGGCTGCTCTATTCTACTTTCTTTGCTTTCTAATGAGGTTGTAGATGTTTCCCACGTGTTTCTTTAATATTCACATTACTGCTTGTGTGACGCATCTGTGGATGATTACTTGGTTATCAAAAATAGCACTTCTAAAAATACCCACTCAAGAAGTCCCTACTACACCCTGGGAACAGAATTGTGTTCCGGGTGTTCAAGAGTGTGGAATTAAGCTCCTTAAAGATAAGGAATAATTTCTGAGTCAGTAGGTAGAGCTTCTATAGTAGTATGTGAGTTTGGCCAGGATTGCTGCTAGCAGTCTGTATGAATTAGAAAATAATAACAATAATAAGCCAAGGGCAGTGGCTAATGCCTGTAATCACAGCACTTTGGGAGGCTGGGTCAGGAGGATTGTTTAAGGCCAAGAGTTCAAGACCAGCCTGGGCAACATAGTGAGACCCTGTCTCTTTAAAAGAGAGAGAGAGAGAGGTCTCTTTGCAGTCCTATGCCCCAGGCATGAGTTTGATGAACAGAGGATTTTCGGTCCCCATTTGTTCCCTAGCCCAGGTGCCCTTGAACAGTGAACAAGCTGCTTGACCTTATCCTACCACTCAGAGTCTGTCACTCCAAGTTCCTATGCAGAACTCCTCATTTTCTGAAAACCAAAATGAAGCAGAAGGAATCCTGCCATTTCCTCATTTCTAAGGCCTAAGTTTCCTGCACGGTGGCTTCAGGTTTGAGTGGCGTCCCCACCACTTCTGATTGTCTTTTCTGTGGTTTGGAAGGAAGCACTGTGCTTAGGCAGGTTGGATCCTAATAAGGACCCAGGAGTTGGAGATCATCTCTTGCCATGGCTCTTGAAAATAAGTGCCACGTGTGTCACTGTTTCCCATTAGTGACAGTGGAGAGCATATTGCTAAGGTCATTCCAGCAACCTAAGGAGACTCTCTCCCTACAGCTCTCCTTCCCATCGACTTTGGCACTTTCAAAGATCTCTCTACCTCTACCTCGCCTCATGCCTGACCACTGACCTCTTACTAATTCTCCTTATTCTTCCAGATGTTGACACTCCTTTGTACCATCAGCATAACACACTCAAGCCTTTCCCAGGTTACAACAAATATCCTTTCAGCCTTTCTTCTAGCTACTGACCTTTCCCCTTCTCTTAATAGCTGAACTTCTAAATGATTCCTATACAATAGCCTGAAAGTACATGTCCCCTCAAAATTTATATGTTGGAATACTGTGTTAGTCTGTTCTCACAGTGCTAATGAAGACATACCTGAGACTGGGTAATTTATAAAGGAAAGAGGTTTAATGGATTCACAGTTCCACATGGCTGGGGAGGCCTCACAATCATGGCAGAAGGCGAATGACAAGCAAAGTCATGTCTTACATGGCAGTAGGCAAGAGAGAGCATGTGCAGGGGAACTCACCTTTATAAAACCATCAGATCTCATGAGACATATTCACTGTCACAAGAACAGCACAGGAAAGACCTGCCCTTATCATTCAATTACCTCCCACCAGGTCCCTCCCACAACGCAGCGGAATTATGGGAGCTACAATTAGAGATTTGAGTGGGGACAAAGCCAAACTATACAAAATACTAATACCCAATGTGATAGCATTAAGAGGAGGAATGTTTTAGGAAGTAATTAAGTCATGAGGGCTTAGTGACCTTATTTTCAACAGGTTGAAAGGAGTTGCCTTGCCCTTTCTGCTCTGTGAGGACACATAGAAGGCACCATCTCTCAAGAATGAGCCCTCACCAGACACGAAATCTGCTGGTACCTCAATCTTGGACTTCCCAGCCTCCAGAACTGTGAGAAATAGATTTCTGTTGTTTGTAAATAACCCAGCCTAGAGTATTTCCTTATAACAGCAGAAATGGACTAAGACACTACTTCTTCACCTCCCATTCACACTCAGCCCATGGTAATCTGGCTTCCAATACAATAATTCCTCTAGACCAGCAGCTTAACTCCTTAACTGCCAAACCCAACAGACATTTTTCAGTCCTATTTTAATTTGTTTAGACTTGAAATTGTTGATCATACCTCCCTCCTTGAAGCTTTCTCTTCCTCACTTTTCTTGATTCCATCACATGAGAATATGTATGTTCCATAAAGACAGAGATCTGTCTGTGTTTTTCACTAACATATCCCAATACCCAGAACAGTGCTTGACCCATAATGGACTCTAAATAAATATTTATTAAATTAATTAGTTATTCGTTCCTCATTCTCTTATTAATCTAGACATTCTCTCAGTGTCCTTCTACCTCAGTGCTCAGCTTTGAAAGACCAAATAACTAGCCTGGCGCAGTGGCTCACACCTGTAATCCTAGCACTTTGGGAGGCCGAGGCAGGCGGATCACCTGAGGGCAGGAGTTCAAGACCAGCCTGGCCAACATGGTGAAATCCCATCTCTACTAAAAATACAAAAATTAGCCAGGCATGGTGGTGCGCACCTGTAATCCCAGCTACTCGGGAGGCTGAGGCAGGAGAATCACTTGAACTCGGGAGGTGGAGGTTGCAGTGAGCCGAGATCACGCCACTGCACTCCAGCCTGGGCGACAGAACAAGACTTCATCTCAAAATAAATAAATAAATAACAATAAAGACCAAATAACTGAATGCCAACTTCATTGCTACTTCTGGCACCCCTGAACTTGTGCATACTGACAACCATGTGATCACATAGGTTTCCATCATATTTGACCACATCACAGTAGTATAGAAAAAGTCTGTCATTCAGATTTATTGTTAACATCAAAATACTCACTTTCAAATATAAACGTTTGACATGTAACAGAGTGAAAATCTTGAAAACTATATATGCAGAAATTCTATCAGTTAGTTGAAAAATATGTATTACTACAAAAGTAAAATTATAATAATGTCAGTTGTGAAAAGCTGTCTATTTTCACATACAAAAACAATTAAAATATTTCAAATAGTTAAATAAGGAAATATAATATAAATACTAACTGATTTATAATAGTTTATAAGTGTAAATGGTATACTAGCTAGATATCTTTAGCAAGAATATTACATCCTTTGAATCAAAACATGTTTATATTGGCTGGGTGCAGTGGCTCATGCCTGTAATCTCAGCACTTTGGGAGGCCTAGGCAGAAGATCACTTGAAGCCAGAAGTTCAAGACCATTCTGGGCAACATAGCAAGACCCTCTCTCCACAAAAAAAGTTTTTTTTAAAATGAGTCAGGTGTGGTGATGTGTGCCTGTAGTCCCAACTACTTGGGAAGCTGAGGCAGAAGGGTTGCTTGAACCTATGAAGCTGAGGCTGCAGTGAGCCATGATCATACCACTGCACTGCAGCCTGGGTGACAGAGAGACCCAGTCTCAAAAAAAAGCTTATGAAATTTTAAATAATAATAACACAAGTCAAAATGGTAAAGGTAAGATATAATGTTAGTCTTTGTGGGATTTCTTGGTATAGTTGCCCAAGTCAGAAACCTTGGAGTCATGCTGGACCTGGCCTCCAATCTCACCAACTACAGCCAACCATCTTTCAGATGCTGTTGACTCTATGTCCTAAATAGCAATTTATTATCTCCCCTACTTTTCTCTATCCCCACTTCCACTGCCCCCAGCTGAGATATTCATGTTTTCACCCAATTTCTTATGTCACTCTGTGTTATTAGGATAGGCTGAGCAATGGCAACAGATCCAAATACACAATGACTCAACTTATAAGTAAACACATAAATGTTTACTTCTGGCCCACTTAACAGTCCAGTATGTGTTTCAAGACAGTAGGGAGGCCTATTCTGGTGACAGCACTAGTATCTCCATGACTTGGTTTCCAAGATCTCAACTCAGTCAGCCAGCATAAAACCCAGCACACGTGAGGTTTTAATGGGCCTGGACAGAATACAACACAACTCACTTTTGCACACATTCCATAGACTAGACTAAGGTCACATGACCACACCTAACTGCAAGAGAGACTGAGATGTGTGGTCTGGCTGTGTATCCAGGCAGAAGTACATTTGGTGAAAACAGCTGGTGTTCTCTGCCAAATATCTTTTATTTATTCATTTTTCACATTGCTACCAGAGTGGCCCAACATTGAACCTAGATCATATTTGGTGAGTGAGTGAATGAGTGAATGAGCAAGTGATCAGATCAGCTATCAAGATCCTCCTCAAAATTCTCCAATGCCTCTTCATCAACTATAGGGTAAAAATGGTAACTTCTTACTTTTACTGTTCTGCTACTGATTACCTTTCTAGCCTCATTTCATGTCATTCTTCCCCTCTCATACTAGTATTAATGAAACTGGACCATTTGTCGTTGCTTAAATAAGCCATATTTTCTCGTATGTTATGTCTTTACATGTACATTTCTCACTTTTTCACCTGTAAAACTTCCACATATCCCTCAAGCCTCAGCTCAAGAGTCCCTTCATGTTAGGAGCATTCTAGTTCCACTCTTTAATTATACTTAGATATACAATAAATTTTTTCTTCTTTTTGAGACAGGGTCTCACTTTGCCACCCAGGCTAGAGTACAGTGACGTGATCACAGCTCACTGCAGCCTCAATCTCTGGGCTCAAGTGATCCTCCTACATTGGCCTCCCTAGAAACTTGGACCACAGGTGCATGTCACCATGCCCAGCTAATTTTTTTTTATTTTTTGTAGAGACAGGGTCTCACTATGTTGCTCAGGCTATACAATAAATTATGTTAACAATAGTCACCCTATTGGCCAGGTACGGTGGCTCATGCCTGTGATCCCAGCACTTTGGGAGGCCAAGGTGGGCAGATCACCTGAGGTCGGGAGTTCAAGACCAGCCTGACCAACATGGAGAAACCCTGTCTCTACTAAAATTACAAAATTAGCTGAGCGTAGTGGCACATGCCTGTAATCCCAGCTACTTGGGAGGCTGAGGCAGGAGAATCACTTGAACCCAGGAGGCGGAGGTTGTGGTGAGCCAAGATAGCACCCTTGCACTCCAGCCTGGGCAATAAGAGTGAAACTCCGTCTCAAAAAAAAAAAAAAAAAGTCACCCTATTATGCTACAAAAGACTGGATCTTATTCATGTTTGAGGGGTTTTTTTGAGACAGAATCTCACTCTGTCACCCAGGCTGGAGTGCAGTGGCACAATCTCAGTTCACTGCAACCTCTTCCTCCCAGGTTCAAGCGATTCTTGTGCCTCAGCCTCCCGAGTAGCTGGGATTACAGGTGCAGGCCACCATGCCCAGCTAATTTTTTGTATTTTTAGTAGAGACAGTGTTTCACCATGTTGGCCAGGCTGGTCTAGAACTTCTGACCTCACGTGATCTGCCTGCCTCGTACTCCCAAAGTTCTGGGATTACAGGAATGAGCCACCACACCTGGCCCTAGAACTTATTCATTCTAAATGTATTTATGTACCCATTAACCATCCTCACTTTATCCTCCACTCCTGCCACTCTTCCCAGTCTCTGATAAGCATCATTCTACTCTCTATCTCCATGAATTCAGTTTTTAAAATTTTTAGCTCCCACATATGAGTGAAAACATGTAAAATTCATCTTTCTGTGTCTGGTTTATTTCACTTAATGACTTCCAGTTCCATTCATGTTGTTGCAAATGACAGGATTTCATTCTTTTTATGGCTGAATAGTACTTCATTATGTATATGTACCACATTTTTTTATCCTTTTGTCTATTGATGGACATTTAGGTTGTTCATGAAGTAAATTTTGTCTATGCTTGAGCTGATGGATACCCCAATTATCATTATTTCATCATTACACATTGTATGCCTATATCAAAACATCACATGTACTCCATAAATATATAGAACTATTATGTACCAATAATAATTATAAACAAAAAATTTTAATTAAACAAAAAGAGTCCCTTTCTACAGGAAGCCTTTAGCAACACTCCACCTCAGGTTCTATCCCCAGCAAAGTTGGAAGCTAACTCCTCCCCCAGCTCAGCAACCTCTACTCTGTAATTGTCACTTTGCCTTGTTATTCTATGCTTGCATAATCTGTGTCTCTCTAGGAAGCAAGCTGCTAATGGAGAAAGCAATGGGTGTGCCATCTACTCTCTCCCTAACAGCAATGGGGCAGCCACCATTTAGGTAGGCTTAACATTTTCCATTTTGAATCCCATCAGCTTGTTGAATTCCATCACCTTCTGGAACTACAGCCAAAAATAAAAATCAACATATAGGGACAACCACAAAGAAAAATACCAAATTTACTCTTCTTGAGTAGATGGCACCATCATTATCAATTGGTTACTCAACTTACTCAACTCAAGCAGGCGCCCTGGGAATTACCTTATCTCCCCTCACCATTTACATTTAGTTCCCCAAATCCTACACATTCTACATTGTTGGCATTGCTAGGTTTCCCTGCCCTCCGTCTGCTATGCAGTGGCAAGTCAAAGAAAGGAAAGTCTTCTCCTTTCTTTACTCCTCCTAACTCACCTCCCTCTCTTCAGTCTCTTGCTCAGTACATTTTCACGTGGCGTAGATCTGTGTAGAAACTTTCAATGACACTCTCGCCAGTCCTGGCCAATGCTCATGCCTCATCCTAAGCACAAGGCCGATCCTGGCCAGGTCCCAAATTCTTTCCAGCCTCATGTCCTGCATTATTCCCATTCATTGATGCTCTAACCCCACGGAGCTCTTTGTAATTCCTTGACCATATAGTGTAAGCCTTTGCCCATCCAAGTCTTTTACCCTCTCTCCCAAAGTGTTTTCCTTCCCCCACCCTTCACCCTGCCTTTTCCTACCACCAACCTCCCATTCCTCACAAAGAGGCTCAGATAATATCTTTTTTGAAGCTATCTCTAGCACAAAGCGGTTCATACAGCCTCTTCCCATAGCATTTACTATAGAGACCTACTACACCACTGATCACATTATAATCATTTTTCATGCATTTCACTGACTAGATACTTGTGTGTATATATATGTATATTTATTTCTGTAGAAATATTTATAAATATATAGAGAAATATCAACCTCAATATACATATATATTTGTTTATTTTAAAGTAGGATGATGAGTTAGCACTGGCCAGGATTTTTACTTTAAAGAAATATATATGGCCGGGCACAGTGGCTCATGCCTGTAATCCCAGCACTTTGGGAGGCCGAGGCGGTGGATCACAAGGTCAGGAGATCGAGACCATCCTGGCTAACATGGTGAAACCCCGTCTCTACTAAAAAATACAAAAAATTAGCTGGGCATGGTGGCGGGTGCCTGTAGTCCCAGCTACTTGGGAGGCTGAGGCAGGAGAATAGCGTGAACCCAGGAGGCGGAGCTTGCAGTGAGCCGAGATCGTGCCACTGAACTTCAGCCTGGGCGATAGAGCAAGACTCCATCTCAAAAAAATAAAAATAAATAAAAAATATATATATATATATACACACATATATATACATATATATATAAAAAACATAAATATACATATATCAGGATATATATACACATATCAGGATACATATAAGGTAAATTTTATATTTACATTTTATATTTATTAAATTTTATATATTTATTATTTATAAATTTATATTTTATATTTATTAAATGTTATATTTATATTATATAGCTCTCTCTCTTTCAAGATCCAGTCAGTGAAATGCACAATATATATAAATATGAAATATGTATATTTTGCCACTAAATGAAATAAAAATTCTCAAAGGCAGGAACCATGTATACAATCAGTGCTTAATAAATATTCATTTAAAAGAATGAGTAGAACCCTGTTACACTGTGTTTGTTGTTTTGTTTTGTTTTTTAAGACAGAGTTCGGCTCTGTCGTCCTTGCTGGAGTGTAGTGGCATGATCTCGGCTCACCGCAACCTCAGCCTCCTAGGTTCAAGCGATCCTCCCACCTCAGCACCCCGAGTAGGTGGGACTACAGGCATGCACCACCATGCCTGGCCTAATTTTTGTATTTTTTGTAGAGATGGGGTTTCATCATGTTTCCCAGGCTGGTCTCAACCTCTTGGCTCAAGCAATTCACCCACCTCAGCCTCGGCCTCCCAAAGTGCTAGGATTATAGGCGTGAGCCAATGTGCCTACTTAAGCTACATCTTCAGCAAAATTCTTAACAGTTATAATTCTATATATTGAGGAGAAAGAATCATGTCCCTAGAGATGTGAGTGGTTCCCACAGCAGATGGTCACATGGAACATTCTAATCAGACAGGCCAAAAAAGAAGCAAACCAAAGTCAGGGCCCTGTGTAGCAGCCTCTACAGCAACAGGCTGAAAATTCTTCCAAACTAACTCTGACCCCCAGACTTCTTTACTGAGATCAACCAGTATCCCATTTAAAAGTTTCAGCCACAAAATGGGGCATTCTTTCCTTGTGATTCACATTACCCAGAAGCCTCCAGCTTCCCGGAATTTGTGTTAAGCAGTAGCTTTCAAAGATGATAATATTTGCCAACAGTCCCTGGGGCACTACTTTACATTTTCCTGAAACAAAAAGGGGATTATTTTGTTCATATTCCTCATTTCTACAGGCCTTTGCATATATTAGTTCTTCCTCTTCTGGCATTAAATAGCAATCTCTTTCCATTAAATTATGAGAATTACTTTATTGTCTTTTTAACATCAGTTGTCCATCAAGGTTGACAAGGCTCCTTGACATTCTCATGAACATCTTACTCAACATGTGGGTCCTAATTTCCCACTCGTCTTAAGAAATGCTGATCATAGGTAGTAAGAAATTAACACTTAAGAATTTGATCTTTACCAATGTCCCATAATTACCTATTCAGTTCTATAGGCCTGCATTATTACTGCCCAAACCATAATCTTTGAAATTATGTAGAAAGAAAAAAAATGATGCTGTGATTATTATCAATCTAATCAAATCCAATTATTTGATTATTGATAACTTATTTTTCTTCTCTGGCCTTTTTTCATCCCTTTTCATATCTCAGGAGTGTGCTCTATCACACTTCCTCCTGCCCAAGGATTAGTATGTCCAGATTCTGGCTTTCCTGCAAGGTGTATTTTGAATGCCAATATCCCTCTATGGAATTCCCATGATGCCTCCCTATCCAACATAACCTTTCTGTTCTCATGCACCACCTTAGTCCCTTCTCTAATATTTTGCACTACATTGTAGACATGGCTCCATATGTCTTAACTTTCCTACTGCACTACGAGTTTCTTAAAGAAATAATACGCATGCTCTTATTATGTTATCTTTAAAGGACTCTCAGAGTACTGAGTTTACAGAAGCATGCCATTGTTTGTTGGGTAAATACATTTTTCTGCCCATAAACTGCTATACTAGGTAAATGGGTGATTTAAAGGTTTTAGTGAATAATTAAGACCAATTTGGGTCAAGGTTTTTACAGTATTTGACATATAGAATGTAATCCAGCTTCCACTATTCTCTAGCTCAGGGATGCACCTTCTTTGCCTTAAAAAGTCTTACTCATCACTGGAATAGAAGCTTCCTGAGGGCAGTGGCCGTTCCTATTGTTTCCCTCAGTGGCCCCTGTGCCTGGCTTGTGGTAAGTATTCAATACATATTAATTAGTAAATTAATCTTTCAAGATCCAATTCCATTTCTTTTGAAAGCTTTTCCTAACCATCTCAGGATTCACTTATGCCTGATGCTACATATGTCTGTGTATATATACATATATTCATATATATGTACATACATGTATGTGTATATGTGCTTTTTGGATGATTCAACGGTATAGTCATTCAAAGAAAGCATATCTTTCTATTTTATAGATAAGAAAACAGAGGGCAAGAGACCTTTAAGTAATGAGGTTACAAGCTGGTTAAGTGGCAAACCTTGAATTCTGACTCAAGTATGTCAATTCCACCGGGTTCTTGTTAATATACCACTGTGTCTTTTATAATTTCAAGAGGCTTGAAATTTCCCTCACTTTCCAAAATCAACAGCATAGTAACATAATCCTTCCAGGGTTAGCATTAATTTTAATATCTATAGTCCTTTGAGATCTATTTCTCTTTCTGTTCTTTACTTTGCAGTATGCTCTGGGAACGTGCTCTGCCTGTGATGAGAAGTTCCATTCTAGTTATATACCACTTTGGCTTCCTTTTCCATATATGAACTAACAATGCATTTTTCTTGGATTTCTCTCAGTTCTTGTAGTTTAATAAAGCTTCCCAAGACACGCTGAAGGTTTCTTCCCTCTGTGCACACTTCCTCCTTCCTACTAATCACCTTTCTTTTGTGACAGTCCATCTCTCTTCTAATACTTCATTTAGCATAGATTTTCCAGCTGTCTCCTTTATCTTTTTTAAATTATAATTATAATTAAAGTATAATTTTAAGATGTATGATTATATACCTCTTCATTGCAGAAATGTTAGAAAATGCATATACATAAAAGGAAAATATTGATAACTAGAAATACCACCACCCAGTAAAAGTACCATTAATTCTGCAATCTCCATCTTGCTTTATTTTTATCTATATGAATATATTTGTTTACAGATACAGATTTTTAAAATAAAATTAAATACATGAGTCATTTTGAATTAAGAATTTGTCATTTAGTGTCCTGTGGACACAAAAAGGAGGATTTTGGGCCGGGCATGGTGGCTCATGCCTATAATCCCAGAACTTTGGGAGGCCGAGGCAGGTGGATCACCTGAGGTCAGGAGTTCGAGACCAGCCTGTCCAACATGGTGAAACCCCGTCTCTACTAAAAGTACAAAAATTAGCCAAGCATGGTGGCGGTCGCCGGTAATCCCAGCTACTTGAGAGGCTGAGGCAGGATAATCGCTTGAACCCAGGAGGCAGAGGTTGCAGTGAGCTGAGATCGTGCCATTGCACTCCAGCCTGGGCAACAAGAGCAAAACTCCATCTCAAAAAAAAAAAAAGGAGAAAGGTTTTTTGGCAAACAATAAAATTTGTTATATATTCAAATAAATCTCATTAATTATATTATTCAGTTTCTCTAGTATAATGCATATTTGTTCCTCTTTGGTTAGTTAATGACTCACAGGAATATGCTAATGTTCTCCCACCACAGATTTTTTTCTTCACGCATCGCAAACAGATTTTCCATTATGTATTTTATCATTATGTTGTTTTTTATTGTACATAATTTCACTACAATTAGGTATTTATTGAGGTTTCTATATGTCAGCAATAAAACAGTAATCCTTTTGTCCTATTTGTTGATTTTTACAGGAACATAAAATACTCCTATGTCAAAATTGGGACTCCTGCTTTATTTTTGTTTGTATTTGTATGTCATGTTTTGCTAATTCTTACATTTTTAACCCAGCATGTGGAGCAGTGCTAGGCACATGGTAGGCATGCAATAATTTGATTCATTGATCTACTGAATCAATAAATAGTGGTTACACTTCCTTTGTTACTCCTTGTAGATGTCTCTTCTAGGTATTACCTTATTGGATTTCGTTTTTGACCCAGTGTGGTACTTTCTTTCTTTCTTAGGTGATTTTACTTCATTTTTATTTTTTTTAAGTAATATACACTTGGTCCTATTTCTGTCATGTTGTTGTGTGTTTTTAAATGTTTATTACTATTTTCTAACTTTTATCTGTTTCACTGATGTGTTTTCCTTCGATAATAATTTGAAATGTTTTAGTTCTGCCAGTAGTTATCTTTTTAAAAAATTACTTAAATCCATGCTTCCCTTCAATATTCTCAATCTATATTATAATTGAAGAGTATCTATTGACATTTCATATGAAAAATACTTCCTCCTATGGCCTCCCCTTCTACCTGCCATCTAGCCAGTTGGGAGAGGTAAGGTTTGGGACTTTTGTCTCAGCAAATTATTGTAAATGTTAACACTGTATATGTTTAGAGTATTATCATTGTTTGCGCAGTGATCCTTCTTTTTCGATAATGTGATGGGTTTTTTTTTTGTTTGTTTGTTTTTGTTTTAAAGTTCTGGGATCCACGTGCAGGATGTGCAGGTTTGTTACACAGGTAAACATGAGCCATGGTGGTTTGCTGCACCTATCAACCCATCACCTAGGTATTAAGCCCAGCATGCATTAGCTGTTTTTCCTGATGCTCTCCCTTTCCCACACCCCACCAACAGGCCCCATCATGTGTTGTTCCCCTCCCTGTGTCTATGTGTTCTCATTGTTCAGCTCCCACTTATAAATGAGAAGGTGTGCTGTTTGGTTGTCTGTTCCTGTGTTAGGTTGCTGAGGATAATGGCTTCTAGCTCCATCCATGTCCCTGCAAAGGACATGATCTCATTCCCTTTTATGGCTGCATAGTATTCCATGGTGTACATGTACTACATTTTCTTTATCCAGTCTATCATTGACAGACATTTGGGTTGATTTCATGTCTTTGCTATTGTGAATAGTGCTGCAATGAACATATGTGTGCATGTATCTTTATAACAGAATAATTTATATTCCTTTGAGTATATACCCAGTAATGGGATAGCTGTGTCAAATGGTATTTCTGGTTCTAGGTCTTGGAAGAATCACCGCACTGTCTTCCACAATGGTTGAGCTAATTTACATTCCCATGAACAGCATAAAAGTGTTCCTATTTCTCCACAGCCTCACCAGCATCTGTTGTTTCTTGACTTTCTGATAATCTCTATTCTGACTGGTATGAGATGGTATCTCATCATAGTTTTGATTTACATTTATCTAATTATCAGTAATGCTGAGCTTTTTTTAATATGTTTGTTGGCCACATAAATGTTTTCTTTTGAGAAGTGTCTATTCATGTCCTTTGCCCACATTTTAAGGGGGTTGTTTGCTTTTTAGTGTGAATTTGCTTAAGTTCCTTGTAGATTATGGTTATTGGACCTTTGTCGGATGGATAGACTGCACACATTTTCTCCCATTCTGTAGGTTGTCTGTTCACTCTGATGATGGTTTCTTTTTCTGTGCAGAAGTGCTTCAGTTTAGTGAGATCCCGATTGTCAATTTTTGTTTTCATTGCAATTGCTTTTGACATTTTCACCTTGAAATCTTTGCCCATGCTTATGTGCTGAATGGTATTGCCTAGATTTTCTTCTAGGGTTTTTATAGTTTTGGATTTTACATTTAAGTCTTTAATCCATCTTGAGTTAATTTTTGTATAATGTGTAAGGAAGGGGTCCAGTTTCAATTTTCTGCATATGACTAGACAGTTCTCCCAGCACCATTGATTAAGTAGGAAATCCTTTCCCCATTGCTTGTTTTTGTCAGGTTTGTTGAAGATCAGATAGTTGTAGATGTGCAGTCTTATTTCTGAGTTCTGTATTCTGTTCCATTGTTCTATATGTCTGTTTTGGTACCAGTACCATGCTGTTTCAGTTACTGTAGCCTTGTAGTATAGTTTGAAGTAGGTAGCATGATGCCTCCAGCTTTGTTCTTTTTGCTTAGGATTGTCTTCACTATATGCACTCTTTTTTGGTTCCATATAAATTTTAAAGTAGTTATTTCTAATTCTGTGAAGAATGTCAATGGTAATTTAATGGGAATAGCATTCAATCTATAAGTTGCTTTGGGCAGTATGGCCATTTTCATGATATTGATTCTGCCTACCTGTGAGCATGGAATGTTTTTCCATTTGTTCATGTCCATTCTGATTTCCTTGAGCAGTGGTCTGAGTTCTCCTTGAAGAGGTCCTTTACTTCCCTTGTTAGCTGTATTCCTAGGTATTCTATTCTCTTTGTATCTAATGAGAATGGAAGTTCATTCATGATTTGGCTCTCTGCTTGTCTATTGTTGGTGTATAGGAATGCCTGTGATTTTTGCACATTGATTTTCTATGCTGAGACTTTGCTGATGTTGATTATTAGCTTAAGAAGTTTTGGGGCTAAGATGATGGGGTTTTCTAGATATAAGATTATGTCATCTGCAAACAGAGATAGTTTGATTTCCTCTCTTCCTATTTGAATACGTTTTATTTCTTTCTCTTGTCTGATTGCCCTGGCCAGAACTTCCAATACTATGTTGAATAGGAGTGGTGAGAGAGGATATCCTGTCTTGTGCCGGTTTTCAAGAGGAATGCTTCCAGCTTTTTCCCATTCCGTATGATATTGGCTGTAGGTCTGTCATGAATGGCTCTTCTTATTTGTAGGTATGTTCCATCAATACCTAGTTTACTGAAAGTTTTTAACATGAAGGGATGTTGAATTTTATTGAAGGCTTTTTCTGTGTCTATTGAGATAATCATGTGGTTTTTGTCTTTAGTGCTGTTTATGTGATGAATTACATTTATTGATTTTTATATATTGAACCAGCCTTGCATCTGGGTATGAAGCCAACTGGATTGTAGTGGATAAGCCTTTTGATGAGCTGCTAGATTCAGTCTGCCAGTACTTTATTGAATATTTTTGCATTGAAGTTCATCAGGGATATTGACCTGCAGTTTTTAATAATGTGACTTTTGCAATCTTTTAGGTAACCATGTGGTATAGTTTGGATATTTGTCCCCACCCAAATCTCATGTTGAATTGTAATCCCCAGTGTTGGAGGTGGGGCCTGGTGGAAGGTATTTGGATCATGGGGACAAATCCCTTATGGCTTGATACTGTCTTCATGATAGTGAGTTCTCATGAGATTTGGTCACTGAAAAGTTGTGGCACCTCCCCCACACAACTCTCTCTCTCCTGCTCTTGCTTGTGCCATGTGATGTGCCTGCTCCTGCTTCACCATCTGCCATAATTGTAAGCTTCCTGAGGCTTCCCCAGAAGCAGAGCAGATACCAGCAGCATGCTTCCTGGATAGCCCACAGAACCATGAGCCAATTAAACCTCTTTGCTTATAAACTACCCAGTCTCAGGCATTTCTTTATGGCAACACAAGAGTGGCCTAATATACGATGTTTATCATAGTTTTATGTACCCTGTTCTAAATTGAATAGTTTCAAGGCTTATTACTGTCACTAGCCCTTCCATACCATGATTTCTCACTTCAAGAGGTTTTATTTACTTATATTTAAATTTTGAATGAATAATTCCATAAAACTTTAAAGGCAAGAACGTCACCAAGACAATTCTAGGTGTTGTTCATTTTGTCATTAATTATACATTAGCCACAGGCATATCTGGATCATTGTTTTTTTCAGAAACATCTTTGTTTTATTTGTTCTCTCCCTTTTGGGATCACCAATTATCCACATGCTACACCATTATTATTTGTCTCCTGTATCTTTTATATTCCTTCTAACTCTCTAGTCTTCTTGCCTATTTCCTCTATGTTCTTACAAAGCTTCTTATACTTATCTCATTTAACTGGCTTGATTCTCTGCAGTGGTAATTCCACTCTTCATTGCTTCATATGCCATTATAATGTCTGTTGTGGTCTTACTTGTTCCCTTACATTTTAGTCTTACATTTCTTTTTTATTCTCATTCTGTTGTCTTACCATAACATCTTCTATCGCTTATTCAAAGAAATCATAATTTGTTTAAGTATCCTGAAATTTCTAAGCAAATGCTCCCTAAAACTGAACTGTCTTTTCTGGAGTATGTTCAGCCTTTGGTTTGGGGAATGCTATGGTAATCTTCTACTTTTATGTGGCAGAATATTTTATATATCCCATTTTTTGTTTTGTTTCGTTTCATTGTTGTTTACTTTAGAAATCATTCATTTAATTTAAAAAATAAGACGGGTTGCAGCGGCACATGCCTGTAATCTCAGCAATTTGGGAGGCTGAGGCAGGAGGATCCCTTGAGTACAGGAGTTCGAGACCAGCCTGGGCAATACAGTTGAAACCACTTCTAAAAATAAAATATTAGCCTAGTGTGGTGGCGTGCACCTATGGTCCCAGCTACTCGGGAGGCTAAGGTGAGAAGATTGCTTGAACACAGGAGTTGGAGGCCACAGTGAGCTGTGATCACGCCACTGAACTCCAGCCTGGGTGACAGAGCAAGATCCCATCTTAAATAGATAAATAAAATAATTTTCAAAATATATTTATTGAGATAAAGGTAAAGAAAAAAATCTTAGCACTAGCCTGCAGTTTCATCTTCTAGTGTGAAAAATCTTTAAACAAGTAAGCAAAGAAATATCCAATGTGAACTGGGGAAAGTCATTTAAGAAAAAGGGAGTCCTATCAGAAAGAATACTTTGGGGAACCTCTTTTGTTTGGGTGATTCCCTAGACCTCTTGAGAAGTACCATTTAAGATAAAATTTAGGCCAGGTGCAGTGGCTCATGCCTGTAATCCCAGCACTTTGGGAGGCTGGGGTGGGCAGATCACCTGAGGTCAGGAGTTCGAGACCAGCCTAGCCAACGTGATGAAAGCCATCTCTACTAAAAATACAAAAAATTAGCCGGACGTGGTGGTGCACACCTGTAATTTCAGCTACTCAGGAGGCTGAGGCACAGGAATTGCTTGAACCCAGGAGGCAGAAGTTGCAGCGAGCCAAGACCACATCAGTGCACTCTAGCCTGGGAGACAGAGCAAGACTCTGTCTCAAAAAAAATACAATGAACAAGGTAAAAATACCAGCACATGCAAAGCTCTGAGGTCAGAAACACTCCAGTTCCTCTCCACCCTAATCACTCTGCAGGAGATAAAGAGGTTGGAAAAAACCAGGTCATTCCCAGTGTTGTACAAGCTTGGACATTCTTGGAAATGCCAGGAGAAGTTATTAGGATCTTTAGGGGAAAGGACTGACATGGTCTGATCGATGCTTCAAGTTTATTAGGACTGCTATCTGAAGAATGGGGTTGAAAGAAAAAAGGAGAAGCAAGGGCCAATTAGGAAGGTTTGTCAGTAATCCCAGTAAGAAATTATAGCAGTTTGAATTAAGAGAGAAAGACTAAAGTTATACTTTGGAATAAGAATCTTAGATTAAATGGATTGGATTAAATGTGGTGGAGAGAAGGTTGTTAAATAAGGAGAAAAAAATATTAGGCCTTTGGCTTGAACAACCAGGTGGACGGTGCTGCTGTTTACTGAGATGTGAAAGACTAGGGGAAGAACAGGGTTAGGGCTGAAAATCAAGAATTCAGTTTTGGACATGTTAAGCTTGAGATGCATGTGAAAAATAGATAACATGGAGACTCTGTGGAGAAATAGTAGATGGAAATAGAAACTTGAGAAGTCATCAGGATACAGAGGTATTTAACATGAATGGATTGGAGCACCTTGGGTAGAAGTATAGAGGGAGATGAGTAGGTAGCCAAACACCACAACCTAAGGGACTCCAAAGTTTAGACATGTAGTAGAGAAGGAAGAGATGTAAGGAGGACCCAAAGACTGTGGAGTCACAGAAGCCAAGAAAGAAAGGTGTTTCAAGAACAGTGGTCGACTTTCATTTAAAATGGCAAAATGAAGATACTTCTACACACTTCTCTCAGAAATCTCCTTCAAACAACAAAGAGAATGAGAACAGAAACACAAATTCCAACTTTAATGAATGCTAGAGACATTTGTAGCCAACAAAAATATGAAGATGAAAAGAGGTGGAAGGATAGTAACTACCTATAGGAACAGTAGAAAGTGAAACAAGTGCTTGCAGAGAGATACTGATGAGAAGAAAGTTGATTGACTCTGCCTAACCCTGAAAAGACACAGAAAATGGAGTTATCCAGTACTATAAAAAAGGGAGAAAAATGGAAAATTGAGCCTTGGGATTTTGGATCTCTTGCGCCACAATATGAATGGACAACCAAGTATTTCCAGACATTTACAGTAATATAAAAATAGAGATTCAAACAAACTGTAAAAAGGAACTTGAAGAGGAAAAAAAGTATAAAAGCTGAAGAACTCTTGAAATTTAAAACACTGTAATTACTCCTCTCAGAATGATAAGAATATATTGTGTGTATAAATCAGCAACAGGAAGCCACATAAAAGAAAAGTTCGGCCAGGCACAGAGGCTCACACCTGTAATCCCAACAAGCGTTGGGAGGCGAGGCAGACAGATCATGAGGTCAAGAGATTGAGACCATCCTGGCCAACATGGTGAAACCCCGTCTCTACTAAAAAATACAAAAATAAGCTGGGCATGGTGGTGCACACCTGTAGTCCCAGCTGCTCGGAAGGCTGAAGCAGGAGAATCGCTCAAACCCGGGAGGCAGAGGTTGCAGTGAGTCGAGATCACACCACTGCACTCCATCCTAGCAACAGAGTGAGACTCTGTCTCAAAAAAAAAAAAAAAGAAAAAGAAAAAGAAAAAAAAAGACAGAAAAATTCAGAGAACAAGAAAGAGATCTTGGAAATAAAAATACAACTGCAATGACTTTTTAAAAATCAATAGAGCAATTGGAAGATACAAACCAAGAAAATCCCTCACTTTTCTTTGAAATTAAGGACTTGTTAATAATAATACAGAAAACTTCCTCCCAGAATTTAGAAAAAAAAGAGAAAGCTTTTTGCAATCAAATTATCAGTCCAGCCTCTGATGAAGCCTATGTTAGTAGGCACATCTGAGTGGTAATGAATGCCAGCAGCTCTGATGAAAAAAACAGGATCAATCCAGAAGATGAGTTCCAGAAAGGAAGAAGAACAGAGAAAATAATGGGAGGGAAATTATTTTATATACACACACTTAATTCCCAGAATTAAAAGACATAAAACTATAAATTAAAAGGATCCACAATTACACACAATGAATATTAAAAGATCCCTAGGACACATTATCATAAAATTTTAGAACATCAAAAATGAAAAGAAGATCCTAAAAGCTTCCAGACAGAAAAACAGGTCCCATAGAAATGACAGAAATCCAAATGGTATTTGGCTTTACAACAGCTATATCAGAGGTGGCAGCATAGGGGAAAGGTTGGAAACCTGGCTGCTGGGTTTGAATCCTGACTCTATACTCTGTGAGTAATGATAGTGTTGTTATGAGGATAAGGTAGGTTCGTATTTATAAGCGTGCAGAACAGTGTCTGGTACCTAATATTTGCGATTTAAGTATTTTCTAAATATACCTAGGGAAGATAAATTGAACACGTATTCTAAATTCTGAGGGTAAATGAGTAAATGAGCTGCCACTTGCAAGTCAGTACCTAACTAAAACTCTTAAATAGGTATAAGAATAGAAAAAAACATCTTTTTTTTTTTTTAGGCAGAGTCTCTTTCACCCAGGCTAGAGTGCAGTGGTGCGATCTCGGCTCACTGCAACCTCCACCTCCCAGGATTAAGCAATTCTCATGCCTCAGCCTTCCTAGTAACTGGGATTACAGGTGCTCGCCTGTAATTAGCACCAGCTAATTTTTGTATTTTTAGTAGAGATGGGGTTTCGCCATGTTGGCCATGCTGGTCTTGAACTCCTGACCTCAGGTGATCCACCCACCTTGGCCTCCCAAAGTGCTGGGATTACAGGAATTAGAAAAAAAAAAAAAAAAAAAAAACATATTTTCAGGCATGCAAAGTCACCCCCAAAATTAACTTCCTCTGCACCTTTTCTCAGGAAGCTCCAGAATTATAAGCATCACTGAAAATAGGGATTAAACTAAGAAAGAGGATACAATAGGCAGGAAATAGGGAACCTAACACAGGAGAAAAGCAAAGGAAAGTCCCAGAATGACAGCTGGATAGCAGGCCTAGAGGGTAATCAGTGAAGATCACAGGATGGTCTTCAGAAAAATAAATGAAATGGATAGATTCCTGCCAGATTTGACCATGTCAGACATCATACTGAAAGAAGGAAGAAAAATTAGCAAAGGCTGCAAGGTACAAGGAAATGAACAAATGAAAATAAATCAGGCAATTACTATGTACAGGAAAAACAGAAAGTTGAATAAGAAAAAGAAACAATCAGTACACTGCTTGGCCAAGCTGACAGCAGTATTAATTTAGTCCATTAATAAAAATATTTAATAGTGATTTAAGTAGAAACAGTGATATAACTATTCCAGAGGATTAAAAAGGGATAAGAGTTGGGGCTTGGGAGATATGTGTGCTAAACAGCAACTACCAAAATGAGAAGCCAATATAATCTCTAAAGTTAAAAAGCAAAGAGAGTATTGACATATTATTTAGAAATATGGAGGTAAACACAGGACTGGAATACTTACCCTAAATAGTGTGTATGTATTCTCCTGAGCCTCCTTATTAATCCTAGGCACCACTTAAAAATCGCCTCTTAGATCCATTTGGAGGGCTGATGATGTATGGTCTTCTCATAACTGTTCTAAAAGAAATCTAAAGAATATTGGAGAGAGCTGAGGCCAGGCCTGCCTGGGATCAGGTGAGGAAGAGGAAATAATCTTTATTATTTGACTTCTATATTTCACCCTGTCTCATAGGAAGGTAGATTCCCATGTCCATTGCTCTTTGGTTTGATAGTCGCTCTTGGTACACCCACCATTTGATACAGATTCCCTTTCTCTTGGTGGGAAAGTGAGCACTGATAGTTCTGTTTGGGAAAGTCCTTCTTTTCCTTGAAGTGAAGCCCTAAGTTACTGAGAAGACGAATCAAAGAAAATACTCAATTTACTGTTTGTTACTATAAGCTGTACTCTTTTTTGTTTTGCTGTTTTGTTTTGTTTTGAGACAGAATCTCGCTCTGTCGCCCAGGCTGGAGTACAGTGGCGCGATCTCGGCTCACTGCAACCTCCGCCTCCCGGGTTCAAGCGATTCTCCAGCCTCAGCCTCCCGAGTAGCTGGGACTACAGACGTGCGCCACTACGCCTAGCTAATGTTTGTATTTTTAGTAGAGACGGGGTTTCACCATGTTGGTTGGCCAGGATGGTCTCGATCTCTTGACCTCGTGATCTGCCCGCCTTGGCCTCCCAAAGTGCTGGGATTAGAGGCGAGAGCCACCGCGCCCGGCCCAGTATAAGCTATGCTCTTACAGCCACATCTCCCACTCTGCCTCAGCCTCTCTCTAAATTAAGGGGTTCCAGTTAGGTTTCCAGGATTTCCTTTCTCTGTCTCTTCAGTCCGGGCTCATTGCACCATAACTAATAGAAATTCTTTGAATTTTGTGGAATGTGGTTGGCAACATTCCCTGGTTTCAAAACAAATTAGTTGGGAGCATTTTGTTTTTTTGAAAGTCTCTTGGCCATTTCCAGTTCTGAGAAAAGCTTCAGAAACTTATATGTAAACTGCCATCTTTCCCAGAAACCTGTGGCAAGGTTTCTTGATTCTCCTAAGTGTGTTTAACTCATGTCTAAATATCCCTATAAAAAGTATCAAATTGTAATATATTGAAAATAGGCCTTTTCAAATTCACAACCTAAGGGGGCTTCTATTGTAATGTATACTAGATAGTGCCACCTGGTCCTGTATTGATTGAATTATACAAGGATGTATATTGTTAAGAAGAATGTTTAAAATTTTAATACAAACAAAATATGATATAGTCACAAAATGAAATATTTAGCCACAGAAAGGAATGAAGTTATTCAACATAGATGAAACTTGAAAATATTATACTAAGTGAAGAAGCTAGACACAAAAGGCTATTATCATATGACTCCATTTGTATGAATTGTCCAGAGAAAACAAATCTGTAGAGACATAAAGTAGATTACTGGTTTCAGAGTATAGGGGAAAGGGAAATGGAGAATGATTGCTAGTGGATACAGTGATGAAAATGCTTTGGAAAAGAAAGGGGTGGTGACTGCACCACTTTCTGAGTATAGCAAAAAACCACGAGTGTACACTTTAAAAAGGTGAATGTTACAGTGTGTGAATTACATCTCAATTAAAAAAAAATGAATACACTCTCCCTGGGGCACTGAAACGTGTTTAAAAATTTCAAACCATAGCATGCACAATTGCATACAAAAGAAGAATTCACAGAGCTATGCAGAAAGTGACAAGCCCTAAAACTTACTTAGAGTTTTATGTACCAGTCATGGAATCAAAACATTAATAAGTGGTAAAATAAAATGGAGTTCTGAAATGTGAATAGTGTGCTACCATTTGAATTTTAAAAAAGAAAAAAAAGAGGGCCGGGTGCAGTGGCTTACACCTGTAATCCCAGAACTTTGGGAGGCCGAGGCGGGCAGATCACTTGAGGTCAGGAGTTCAAGACCAGCCTGGCCAACATGGTGAAACCCCATCTCTACTGAAAATACAAAAATTAGCCGGGTGTGGTTGCACGTGCCTGTAATCCCAGCTACTCAGGAGGCCGAGACACAAGAATCATTTGAACCTGTGAGGCGAAGGATGCAGTGAATCGAGATCGCGCCACTGCACTCCAGCCTGGGCAACAGAGTGAGACTCTGTCAAAAAAAGAAAGCAAAGAAAAAGAATAAAATTTTTTACATATACGTAAAATATCTTAAGGCAATATTTTAAAAATGGTCACAGTGGTTGTTTTCAATGAGAACTGGCTAAGAAATGTGTGACAGTGTAGTTAAGACTTTCACTAGATATCCTTCTGATTTTAAACCATGAATGAAATACACATTCAAAATAAATGAAAATTAAATTAATTTTGCCTAATTTTAGTTAACTTTATATTTACAAATACAATCTCCAACTATAACTGTAGTGTTTTCTATGTGTACTTTCAGGTCTTTAGCTTTTGTTTAATATATTTAAAGCCCTGTTATCAGCTGCACCCACAATTAAAATAGCTGTGGCTTCTTGTTGACTTGACCCCTTTATCATTAGAAAATGCCCTTCTTTAATACTTGTAATGTTCCTTGTTCTTAAGTTTATCTTCTCTGATATTAATAAAGCCACTCCAGATTTCTTTTGATAAGTAGTTGCATAGTATATATTTTCCCATTGTTTTAATTTTTAACCTGTCTTTATATGAAATATTAGTTGCATTATAGCACATAGTTGAGTATAGTTTTTCTCTTTATCCAATCTAACAATCTCTGCCTTTAAATTGGAGTATTAAGACCATTTACACATAATGAATTATTGATATGGTTAAATTTAAATCTATCTTATTGCTATTTCCTATTTGTTCCATGTGTTCTTTATTCCCTTTCCCCCATCCTTGCTTTCTTTTGGATTGAGTATTTGTTTTTTATGATAGCATTTATCTTCACTAATGGCTACACATTTTTTTTTTTTCTGAGATGAGGTCTCACTCTATCACCCAGGCTGGAGTACAGTGATGCAATCTCAGCTCACTGCAGCCTCAACCTCCTAGGGCTCAGGTGATCCTCCCACCTCAGCCTCCTGAATAGCTGGGACTACAGGTGCATGCCACCATGGCCGGCTAATTTTTGTATTTTTTGTTGAGACAGGGTCCCGCTATGTTGCCCAGGCTGGTCTCAAGCTCCTGGGCTCAACTGATCTTCCCCACCTTGGCCTCCAAAAGTGCTGGGATTATAGGCATGAGCTACCATGCCTGGCATTCAGCTACACCTTTTTGTTTTAGTTTTGATGTGGTTGCCCTGGGATTTATAATATACATCTTTAACAAATCATAGTCTACCTACAAGTAATTTTATACCACCTCAAGTATAGTGTAAAGACCTTACCACAGTATACTTCTATTTCCTTCTATTGCTTGTCATGCTTCATATTTACCAATTTTAAATTACAAATTTCAATTTTACATATGTTATAAATTTTATGGTACATTGTTATTATTTTAAATAGTCAATTATTGCGATGGCTAATTTTACATGTCAACTTGACTGGGCCACAGTGCCCAGATATTTGGTCAAACATTGTTCTAGATGTGTTTCTCTGAAGGTGTTTTTTGGATGAGATGAACATTTAAGTCAGTGGACTTTGAGTAATCAGATTACCTACCATAATGTGGATGTGCCTCATCCAATCAGATGAAGACCTTAATAGAACAAAGACTGACTTCTCCTGAGCAAGAAGGAATTCTGCCAGCAAACTGCCTGTAATAATGTTGTGTGTCAACTTGACTGGGCCATGGGGGGTCCAGATGTTTAATTAAACATTATTCTGCATGGTCTTTGGGGGTGTTTCTGCAAGAGATTAACATTTGAATAGGTAGACTGAGTAAAACAGATTGACCTCCTCAATGCGGATGCACCTCATCCAATTCACTGGAGTCTGAATAGAATCAAGGAAGGATGGTTAGTGGTAAGGGAGAATCCACTCTCTGCCTGACTGTTTTTAAGCTGGGACAATGATCTCCTGCCCTTGAACTAGAACTTATGTCATCAGCCCTCCTTGTTCTCAGGACTTCAAACTTGGACTAGAACTATACCACTGGCTCTCCTGGGATTACAGCTTCTACCTTTGGACTAAAATTGTCACTCTTTCTTGAGCCTCTAGTCTTCCAGCCTACCCTGCAGATTTTGGACTTACCAAATTTCCACAATTTTGTGAGTCAATTCCTTAAAACAAATTTATATCTATCTCTCCATCGATCCACATGCAGCTGGGTCTGTTTCTTTGGAAAATCTTGACTAATACAATTATGTTTAAGATGGCTAAAAAATAAGAGAAATTTTATTTTATATTTACTTACAATCTTACTATGTCTGGTGTTCTTTACTTCTTTGTGTAGATCCAAATATGATATCATTTTCCTTCTTCAAGTTTTCTGGCAATTGATTTTTTAGTTTCCTTTATTCTGAAATAGTCTTCATTTCCCCTCATTTTTGACAGATATTTTCCCTGGATTTAGATTGCTAGGTTGACCTTTTTTCCTTTAGCTCTAAAATGATATCATGCCACTGTCATGTAGCCTACATGGTTTACAACAAGAAAACTGCTCTTCTTATGTTTGTTTCTCTATAAGATATCTGCTATGCTTTGAGTGTTGGTCCCCTTCAAAATTCGTGTTGAAATTTAATTGCCAATGTAATGGTATTGATGAGTGGGGCCTTTGAGAGATCTCATGAGTGGGTTTAATGCCTTAATAAAAGGGGTTCTGGAAATGGGTTCTCTCTCTCCCTTTTTTTTTTTTTTTTTTTTTTTTTTTTTTTGAGACAGAGTCTCGCTCTGTCACCAAGGCTGGAGTGCAGTGGTGCAATCTCAGTTCACTGCAACCTTCACCTTGCTGGTTCAAGTGATTCTCCTGTCTCAGCCTCCTGAGTAGCTGGGACTACAGGCACACACCTCTATGCCTGGCTAATTTTTGTATTTTTTTTTTAGTAGAGACGGGGTTTCACCATATTGGTCAGGCTGGTCTCAAACTCCTGACCTCAGGTGATCCACCTGCCTCGGCCTCGCAAAGTGTTGGGATTACAGGGGTGAGCCACCGCGCCCAGCTGGGTTCTCTCTCTTAAGCAACTCTGCTATGTGAGAAACAGAGTTCCTCCCCTCTATAGGATGCAGCATTCAAGAAAACATCTTGGAAGCAGAGACCAGGCCCTCACCAGACACCAAACCTGCCACCACCTTTTCCTTGGGAAGTCCAAGAGGTCTAGAGGCTGGGAAGCCTCTAGAATTGTAGGAAATAAATTTCTGTTCTTTATAAATTATACCCCATCTCAGGTATTCAGCTATAACATCATAAAACAGATGAAGATGGTGCCTTTCCCCCACCCCACCCACCTTCTTTTTAAGGTTTTTCTCTTCATCACTGATTCTCAACAATTTGATTGTGATATACCTTGATGTGGTTTTCTTTATGTTTATTCTTGAATCTATGGGCTTATAATTTTTATCACATTTGAAAGTTTTATGGCTATTACTTCCTTGAATATTTATTTCAGTTCTCCCTACTCTTCTCCTTTTGTGAAAACAATCCTGTAGATTAGATTATATAATTTTGTCCCACAACTCACTGAAGCTCTAGTCATTTTTATTTTCAGTCTTTTCCCACTCTGCTGTATTTTAGATAACACCTGTTTCCATGCCCTTGCGTTTCCTAATCTTTCATCTGCAGTGTCTACATTGCTCTTAACCTCAACCTCATTCGGTACTTTTATTTCAGATATTTTATTTTTTAGCTCTGTAACTTCTATTTGTATTTTTATCTGTTCCATTTTTCTCTTCATTATTTTGATGTTTTGTTTTACATCCTTTAACATATAAGATTTATAATAACTGTAATATTCTTTAAAATATCTCTGTTATTTCTGTGTCTTTTTATTGGTTGATTTTTTTTCAATAATTGACTTTATTTTTTAGAGTAGTTTTTGGATTCATGGCAAAATTGAACAGAAAGCATTAATATAGCCCTGCTCCCACAAACACATAGTCTCCACTACTATCAACAGCCTACACCACAGTCATAAATGTGTTACACTCAACAAACTAACACTGGCACGTCCTTATGACCCCGAAGTCTTTAGTTTATGTCAGGATTCCCTCTTGGTGTTATATATGCTGTGGGTTTGGACAAATGTGTAATGATGTATCTACCATTATAGTGTTATACTGAATAATTTTACTGCCCTGAAAATCCTCTGTGCCCTACCGATTCATCCTTTCCTCACCCCTAATCCCTGGCAACCACTGATCTTTAAGCTGTCTCCATAGTTTTGCCTTTTTCAAAATGTCATATAGTTGGAGTAATACAGTATGTAGTCTTTTTGGATTGGCTTCTTTCACTCAGTCATATGCATCTAATGTTCTTCCATGTCTTTTCCTGAGTTGATAGCTTATTCCTTGTTAGCACTGAATAATACTCTATTTTCTAGATGCATCCCAGTTTATTTATCCATTCACCCACTGAAGGACATCCTGGTTGCTTCCAAATTTTCACAATTATGAATAAACCTGCTGTAAAGACTCATGAGCGGGCTTTTGTGTTGACGTAGGTTTGCAACTCATTTGGGTCATGTGTATGTTTTGTGTGGACATAAGTTTGCAACTGATTTTGGTAAATACCAAGGAGCACAATTTCTGGATTATATGGTTATGATAAGAGTGTGTTTAGTTTTATAAGAAACTTCCAAACTGTCTTTCAATGTACGTGTACCATTTTGCATTCCCAACAGCAATGAATGAGAATTCCTTTTGCCCCACATGCTCACCAGCATTGGATATTTATTTTTGCCATTTTAATAGGTTATAGTGGTATCTCGTTTTAATTTGCAGTTTACCAATAACATATGCTGCTGAGTATCCTTTCATATGCCTATTTGCCATTTGTATATCTTCTTTGATGAAGTGTCTGTTTAGATATTTTGCCCACTTTTAATTGTGTTGTTCTTTTTTAATTGTTGAAACCTAGTAGTTCTTTATATATTTTGGAAATAGTCCTTTATCAGGTATGTCTTTTACAAATATTTTACTCCACTCTGTGGCTTTGTTTTCTCATTCTTTGACTGTTTTTCATTCTTTTGACTGTTTATGTGTTTATGTGAAGATATAAAAACATAACGGAAGTTTTTAACATAATAAATTCCAGCTTATTATTTCTTTCATGGAGTATACCTTTGGTGTTGTATCTAAAAAGTCATCGCCATACCCAAGGTCACCTAGAATTTTTTTTTTTTTTTTTTTTTTTTTTTTTTTTTTTTTGAGACAGAGTCTGACTCTGTCACCCAGGCTGGACTGTGGTGGTTCTATCTCAGCTCACTGCAACCTCCCCCTCCCGGGTTCAAGCGATTCTCCTGCTTCAGCCTCCTGAGTAGCTGGGACTACAGGTGCATGCCACCATGCCCAGCTAATTTTTGTATTTTTGGTAGAGACAGGGTTTCACCATGTTGGCCAGGCTGGTCTTGAACTCCAGACCTCAAGTGATCTGCCCACCTCAGCCTCCCAAAGTGTTGGGATTACAGGTGTAAGCCACCTCACCCAGCCTAGTTTTTTTTCTCTGTTTTATCTTAGGAGTTTTATAGCTTTGCATTTTACATTTAAGTCTATGATTCATTTTGAGTTAATTTTTGTGAAGGATATAAGGCCTATGTCTAGATTTATTTTTTTTTTTGTATGTGGACGTCCAGTTGTTCCAGCACCATTTATTGAACAGATTGTTCTTTCTCCATTGCATTGTCTTTGCTCCTTTGTCAAAAATTAGTTGATTATATTTATGTGGGGCTATTTCTGGGCTCTCTATTCTGTTCCATTGGTCTATTTTGTCTGTTCTCTCACCAATACCACAGTCTTGATTACTGTACATTTACAGTAAATCTCGAAGTTAGGTAGTGTCAGTCTTCCAACTTTGTTCTCTTCCTTTAACATTGTGTTTGTTATTCTGGATTTTTTGCCTCTTCATATAAACTTTAGAATCATTTTGTCAATATCCACAAATTAACTTGCTGAGATTTTGATTTGGATTGCATTGAATCTGTGTATCAAGTTGAGGATAACTAGCATCTTGACAATATTGAGACTTTTTATCCATGATCATGGAATATCTCTTCATTTTTGTAGTTCTTTGATTTATTTCATAAAAGTTTTATAGTTTTCTTCACATAGATCTTGTTCATATTTTGTTAGATTTATATTTGAGTATTTTATTTTGCAGGGGTGCTAATGTAAATGGTATTGTGTTTTTAATTTCAAATTCCACTTGTTTATTGGTGGTATATAGGAAAGCAATTGACTTTGTATGTTAACCTTGCGTGCTGCAACCTTCTTAAAATCACTTATTAGTTCCAGAAGGTTATCATTGTTGTTAATGATTCTTTCAGATTTTCTACATAGACAATCATGTCATCTACAAACAAAAACAGTTTCATGTCTTCCTTCCCAGTCTACACATCTTTCATTTCCTTTTTTCTTATTTCATTAGCGAGGACTTCCAGATGATATTTAAAAGCAGTGGTGAAAGAGTTCATCCTTGCCTTGTTTCTGATCTTAGCAGAAAAGCATCTGGTTTCTCACCATCAAGTGTGATGTTAGTAGCAGGTTTTGTGTAGACGTTCTTTATCAAGTTGAGGAAG
The DNA here is from genome assembly GCF_000001405.40 of Homo sapiens. Classification (NCBI taxonomy): domain Eukaryota; kingdom Metazoa; phylum Chordata; class Mammalia; order Primates; family Hominidae; genus Homo; species Homo sapiens. The sequence goes on along the minus strand of NW_013171807.1, from coordinate 200,185 downwards.
TTCCTCTCTATTCCTAGTTTGCTGGGCATTATCGTGAATGGATTATTGGTTTCCTCCTGATTATGGTCATATTTTCATGCTTTTTGTGCACTGAATGTAACCAAAGGCCTAGACACACATAGCAGAAGAATCATTTGACAAATTGTATGGAAACTGGAAAGTAGGACACAGGGAGATGAAAATGGAAAGATAAGAGCAGCCAGATGATGGAAGGTTTTGTATGGTGTATTAAGGATTTGGGAGTTTATGTGGTAGAAGTACTTGAGCTTGTATGGTAATAAGAATGAGCAAGTATAAAGAAAAGAATTGCTAATTAGAGAAAATGATTGCATTAAAAAGGTTTTAAACCACTAGAAGAGATATAATTCAATATGAAGAGATTGGTCTTTGAAATGAGTAAAATCACTCATTGACTGTAACAAGAAGAAAGGCACGGAGCATGGTACTGATTCTGATAGGTTAGTAGATTCTGTGGTAAGAAGATGTGAGTGTTTCCATGTGATAATTTCCATGGTGATGTGTATAAAATGTAAGTTTGAGTCACTGATCACAGTTTTGGAAGTTTGAAGAGTGAGAAGTCATAAAATTGTTATCTTAGAGAATGCGAAAGTAAATGTACCAGGAAAAGTATCAGGAAAAAGTAAGACTACTGTGGGGTGGTGATGTCTATTTTTGATATTTGGGGATTAACATCCAGTGAGACCAAAAAGCACAGTTGTGTTTCACCCTGCTGAGGTGTAGGCATACAGTAGCACATACACAATTTCAGATTTGCCAGGCAAATGAGTGAGAAAGAGAGTGTCAAAGAAATTAATAATGTGCTATAAGAGAGTGATTATAATGATGAACCAGGAAATGGGTAGGAACATATGTAAGGATAGAAGAGGGGAAATGAATAATGAAAAAGAGTTAGGTTCAGTGGACTTTAAGACTTATGAGGTTTAAATATGCTGAAGTAGAAGTAGTATAAAAATAAGTGAGTGGGCCGGGCGCGATGGCTCACGCCTGTAATCCCAGCACTTTGGGAGGCCAAGGCGGGCGGATCACGAGGTCAGGAGATCGAGACCATCCCGGCTAAAACGGTGAAACCCCGTCTCTACTAAAAATACAAAAAATTAGCCGGGCGTAGTGGCGGGCGCCTGTAGTCCCAGCTACTTGGGAGGCTGAGGCAGGAGAATGGCGTGAACCCGGGAGGCGGAGCTTGCAGTGAGCCGAGATCCCACCACTGCACTCCATCCTGGGCGACAGAGCGAGACTCCGTCTCAAAAAAAAAATAAAAAAAAAAAATAAAAAAAAATAAGTGAGTGAAAATTCTGGAGGTGATAGAGAGGTGGATGCTGGAAAACACAGGTTTGCGAGATCTTTGCTAACTGGAAATGGCAGAATCAAGCCTATTACAATGGGAGCTGGTGATTGGGGTGGAGGGAAGGAAAAGGTCAGTGGAAATGATTGGGTCAGGGGGGTATAGAATATATCCAAATTGATATTAAATATATTATTTTACATATATTCTTTCACATATGTGCATTTGTAACTAAATTAAAATAGTAGATATTACAAATAGAAAAATTAGTGAATGAGATGTGAGGAAGTAGAGACAAGGGTAGATTTTCCTTTTTGAACTTGAGTTTTAAGAGAAAGAGGAGAGTGATAACTAAATAGAATACAAGATAGAGAAAGCTTTCTTTTTTCTCTGTTTATTGATAAAAATGGAGAGATTTAAGAATATTTTTCAACTCCAAGAAATGATCCAAAAGAGAGTCAAATGTTGAAAATAAGAAGAGAAAGAGATAATCCAATAAAACACAATCTTTGTCCTGGGAAAGAAAGAGCACTGTAGAAAAGTTAGCTTTAAACAAGAAGGGAGGCCAGGCACGGTGGCTCACGCCTGTAATCCCAGCACTTTGGGAGGCTGGGGTGGGCGGATCACCTGAGGTCAGGAGTTCAACAGCAGCCTGACCAACATGGTGAAACCCTGTCTCTACTAAAAATGCAAAAATTAGCCGGGCATGGTGGTGCATGCCTGTAATCCCAAGTACTCAGGAGGCTTGAGGCAGGAGAATCACCTGAACCCGGGAAGCAGAGGTTGCAGTGAGCCGAACTCGTGACATTGCACTCCTGACTGGGCAACAGGAGCGAAATTCCCTCTTGGGGAAAAAAAAAAAAAACCAAGAAAGGAAATATTTTTTTCCTCTAAAATGAGAGGGAGGCAGGTCAAGGGAGGTAGAGAGTTGGTTGATAATAGAGAAAAGAAGGACAGGATGTTGAAGCAGTCCAGGCAGCATGATAGCCTTAATTTTCTCTATTCAGTAGAAGGCAAAGGAAGTTTCTGAGAATAAAAGAGGTGCGAGGGTTGGACCAAGCAGCGCAAAGAAAGTCTGTGGAAGCTGGATCCAGTGGCTCACGCCTGTAATTCCAACACTTTGGGAGGGCGAGGCAGATGGATCGCCTGAGCTCAGGAGTTCAAGACCATCCAGGGCAACACGGTGAAACCCCGTCTCTACTAAAAATTAAAAAAAAATTTACTGGGTGTGGTGGCACACACTTCGAGTCCCAGGTGTTTGGGAGGCTGATGCAGGAGAATCACTTAAGGCCCAGAGGCAACGCTTGCAGTGAGTCGAGATCACGCCACTGCACTCCAGCTTGGGCTACGAAATGAGACTCTGTCTCAAAAATAAATAAATAAATAAATAAGAAAGAAAGTCTGTGGAATGGAAGAGAACTGTAGTAGGATGTCAACTAGTGTTAGATTACAAAAGCAAACACTACTCACCATTTGGACCTAAGTTTTAGAATCCTGGCAGTCAGCTAGCAGGTGTATTGGATAAGCATGTCCCCTTTTCATGCTGCCAGATGTTCAGGGTCATGTTTGGATGGGAAAGGCAAAAGTAAAGAGAAGGCACCTTGTATCACTTTGCCCCTAACAGGTCCTTATTGAATATGAAGTCTCCAAATCTCCACAAATTGTTCTTCTACCATAAGATCAAGTTGCTAAGGGTGTCCAGGCAGTGTACAAATTTGCTTTAATCACAAGCACTGTGGAATTCCTTCAAAAACATGCTGTACAGGTGGTGACAGAAGGAAGTGAGAACATGTTTAACAACCTGTTTACAGGCAAGATAAGAGTTTCTTGTTGTGTGTAGTTTTGTCTTGCAAGATTAATTTATGCAATAGCATTGCCAAATGTTTAGGAGCAAGCCATGTTTCTAGGGAAATATACTATACTGTATTCAAAACTGTACATGCAAACCCCACATTTACAGATGAAGAAACTGAGGCACAGAGGGAGTAAGTAAGGTCATAGAGCTAGTAAACAGTGGCACCAAGAATTAAACCAGCGGCCAGACCTGGTCCAAAGCCTGAACCCTAAACTTCATCCATTTTACCTGAAATACATAAATATATTTTGTACACTCATTCATTTATTCAGTAATACATACTGATCAGCTCTCTGTTTGAAAGAGGAAGGGAAGACAGAAAGACCTCTTTGTCCTCCTCCTCCTTCCCCTATGACAAATCTGGGTGCTGCTGGAGCCCAAGCATTCATCTGAGCACAGATTGAGAACACAAATTTAGATCAAATGCACACCAAATGGAGTCTTCTGTGAGGTCCTCTTGTCAGAACTATGACCCAGTCTCTGCTTGTGTACCTCAAAATGCAAAATGAAAAGTAAAATTAGGTTCCTCTTCAAGTTATTATTATTTTGTTGGAAACTCTATTAGCTAGAATTACCCTGTCCAGTAGAAATATAATATGAGCCATATATGTAATTTTAAGTGTTCCATTAGCCATATATATCTTAAAAAGTAAAAGAAATCAGGTGAAATGTTTTTAAAATATATTAATTTAGACTGGGAGGTGGCTCATACCTGTAATCCCAGCACTCTGGGAGGCTAAGGAAGGTGGACCACTTGAGCTCAGCAGTTCGAGACCAGCCTGGGCAACATGGTGAAACCCTATCTCTACCAAAAATGCAGAAAATTAGCCATGTATGGTGGTGCACAACTGTGGTCCCAGCTACCTGAGAGGCTGAGGTGGGAGGATGGCTTGAGCCTGGGTGGTGGAGGTTATAGTGAGCCAAGATCACACCACCACACCCCAGCCTGGGCGACAGAGTGAAACCCCATCTAAAAAAAAAAAAAATTTATATATATAATTTAACTCACTATATCAAAAATATTATCAATATGTAATCAATGTAAAAAATTGACAAGATATTTTGCCTTCTACTTTTTATACTAAGTTTTCAAAATCTGATGTGTAATTTATACTTACAGCAAATCTCACTTTGAACCAGTCACATTTCAAGTGCTCCATAGAGACATGTAGCTTAGTGACTGAAGTCACTATACGACAGTGCAGAACTAGAATATTACTCATTGTGAGGCAAACTTGGTCTCTCCAAAGTTCTACTCATAAGTTCCAGTATATGTTCCTGGGAGTGAAAGAGTACAACTCCATCTTTTTCTGGGGCTTTAGAGATTATCTTATCCAGCATTTTCAATATTGCAGATATAGAGCATAGGTCTCGAAGTGAAGTAACTTACTCCAGGTCATTCATTAAGTTGATGGTAAAGCCAGGATGAGCAACCAGATGTTCTAATTTCCTGTGCTATGCTCTTTCCACAAGCCAATGCTACCTTCTCTCACAAGGCAGACTTCACATATTTTATAACACTTGAAAATACCATTAGACTTCTGTTCTGTTTTAGTTTTCCTCGTGTGTGCCTCTCAGACCTGCCCTTTGCCCAACACATTTTGCATACTGCAAGTACTTTATAAATGGTTTTTATTCAAATGAGATTTGTGCAGTTTATATAAGCAATATGCTATACAGTTATTATTCAACTGTTTTATACAGTTATGCAAATATTTTTGTATGTACATCACGTAAAGCACTGTGACAGGTGATCATAAAGAAAAAATGAAATTTGAGAAGGCTTTGAAATGACCTACCTAGCCCTCATTGACATCTGGTAATCACCGAATTATCTTCTAATGTTCTTAAACTAACTGCTACTGAATATATTAAAGTCTTTTTCTGGGAATCAGTGTTAAACATACTGGCCTTCATTACCCAGAATCCATCCTTCTGGAGAGTTATGGCAATCTTTTCTCATGTCTTTGTCTCTGAACTCTCTCCCATTTTTCTTAATTTATCAGGAATTACTGCTGGTAATTCTGAGACCTCATTTTCAAATTCCTTCAGCACTCTGAAAAGGAATGTGTTTGGGCATGTTAGGGAAATGTTCTCTTACTTGCGTCTCTCCAACCAAACCTCTAACACCAGTGATCCTCAAAGTGTGGCCCATGACCCCTGTGGGTTATAAGTGATAAAATTCAAGCTTTTAAGCCAAAATTAGTATTTTTAAAATCTTATACCTGCTACCATGAACTTGACAGCTTCCGAATATGTAAAGACTATCCTGGTGAGCTCGGTGGTGATATTTTTAAAATGTGACTTTTTTTGCACTGTATAATGAAGTATGTCTGCTGGGGGTGGTGGCTCATGCCTGTAATCCCAGCACTTCGGGAGGCCGAGGTGGGTGGATCACCTGTCAGGAGTTTGAGACCAGCGTGATCAATATGGTGAAACCTCATCTCTACTAAAAACTACAAAAATTAGGTGGACATGGTGGCACACACCTGTAATCCCAGCTACTCGGGAGGCTGAGGCAGGAGAATCACTTGAACCCGGGAGGCGGAGGTTGCAGTGAACCGAGATTGCACCACTGCTCCAGCCTGGTGACAGAGCAAGACTCAGTCTCAAAAAAAAAAAAAAAAAAAAATTCAGAAAAATGAAAAAAACAAAACACCACCTCATCACTAACATTTTTGTTTTAGAATACATGGTTATTTTCGCTACAATGTTATTTATATTATCATGTGATTAGCTTGTTTTTTTAATAATCAGATGATGTCTCAGTTTTCATTTCTTATGTAGTAAATATCAATAACAAAAGCCCTTTGAGATCCTCAGTAAGTTTTAAGAGTGTAAAGGAATCCTGAGACCAAAAGCTTCAGAACACTGCTTACACCAGTGTTCTGTCCATTTCGGTTTGAAAATGAAAGACCTTCTTGTTAAGTTTTTATAGGAAGTAACATATATAACACAGTAGTAAATGGCCCAGGCTTGGCAATCAAATTGACCTACATTTAAATCCTGACTTTGCCATTTACTAGATCTGCTATATTCAACAAGTTATTGAACCTTTCTGTACCATAGCTCCTTGTGTATGAGATGGATATAATTGTACTTCCTATATTATGGGAATTAAATGGCAAAACTTGTTAAACTATTAAACCCAGAATTATCACCATTACAAAAATTTATACTACCTTTTACAAGTAATATGGTTCTAATATAACAATGGGAGGCATTCTAAAGTCTTGAAATTCTCTTTCTGAATCAGGAAGTCATTTCTCCAAACATAATACCAGCTCAGTTTTCCTCCAAACTCATCTTAATGTTTTCTCATACCAGATTCCTAGGCACTAGCAGCATTAAATATCACATTTTTTTTTCTGCTGTAATATTGAAAAGCATGCATTGTGCCTACATGATAGGTCAATTTTTGTATGACATCTCTGTAATAACGTCACATTTGGAAACAGTGCTGTTGCAAAGGCTGAATCGGAAGGGTTAGGCTGAATCAAAGTGTTAATATGAGCAGGTGAGCGAAGCAATTACCATGTACTGTCTCTAAGGATGAGTGTGTCAGTGATCTAGTGATGACTTTGCTAAATTTTAAATTGCTTTTTACTGCAGGTATACACTTAATGGACCCAACCAGAAAACTCTGTCAATGCATACATCACCTTGGGCTGTTTTGACGTATTAAGACTGTGTAACACTGTAACAGCAAATTCTCATAATCACCATGTTTGGACCTGTGATAATGCTAATTCCTTTACTTAATGTAATTGACAAACAACAGGAACTTCTTCAAATGTATCTGTGGGAGCCACATAGATACACTTGGATTAGTATTTTATTCAGGCTCCCTGAGGCTTATTACAATCAGATATATTTCACTTTTCGAAGCTTCATCCACCTTTAAGACTCTAAAGCCATGATTAGAATTGGATATTTATAAAGTTATCTTCAAGTTTGCTGACTCTTCTGTCATTTCCATTCTTCTATTGCCCATCTAGTATGTTATTTCAGATATTGTACCTTTCAGTTGTAAAATTTCCACATGGTTCCTTTTATAATTTCTGTGTCCTTGCTGAGAACTTCTGCCTTTCCATTCATTCCAAGTGTGTTTATCTTTATCTCATGAAACATAATTACAATAGCTGTTTTTACATCTGATAATTCCAACATCTGGGTTATTTTGTGGTTACCATCTCTTGATTGACTTTTTCCCTGGGAATTTGTCACATTTTTCCGGTTCTTCCTAGTTAAGTAATGTTGGATACTGTGTTGCATAGACTCTGGGTCCTGTTAAAATTTTCTGAAAATGTTTGATTGATGATTGATTGATCAATTGATTCAGGCAATCCACTCGATTAGGCTCAGGCTGCAAGTTTTGTCTCATCATTTATGAGTGATAATTCCAATCTGTTTCATTTTCAAAGCCTTTGCTATGCTTCTTTGGTCTGTCCTGTGCATGCAAGCTCAGGAGTGAGCCCAGGACTTGTAGAAGTTCAAACTGAGAATTAGAGGATTCCCTTTTCCAGCTCTCTTGTCTTCAGGATTTCCCCAACCCTCCCCCCACCCTCATACTCCATGGCCACTGGCCCACAGGAGACTCTTTTTCTGGTTCCTCTGGCCAAAAAGCTTGATTTATCTCAGTGTGAGCTGCTCAAGTCACCGTGGTTGTGCAGCTCCACAAGTGGGGCCCACCCTTGGGGCGAAGCTGTTAAGACAATAGAAGAAAAGAAACATCCCTAATATAGGTTGCTTTTCCAAGTTTTGACTCTCTTTCATCATCTGCCTTCTTCCAAATATTTAAAGACTATTCTTGTCAGCTCTAAAAAAGTGTTGTGATATTTTTTTAAATGTGATTTGTTTTTCTGCATTGCATAATGAAATGTGTCAACACTGGAAAATCTACAAAACTCAGTGAACCTGTATTTTCCAAATGACTCATCGATGATGTCACAAAATCAGGCCGGGGTAAAAGATCTATTCAAAGAATAAGATAAACTAATGAGTTTGAATAAAACAGTGTAGAAAAAGTTTATTGATGGTTGTCATCAGTAGGGGACAGAATTTAGTGGTTTTATTCCACCTTGGCTGAAACCAGAAGTTCTCCTGCCTACTTCTCCAAAATTTATCTTACATCAATCTCCCATCACTTACTCTGCTCTAGCCTTTCTCTTCTTACGCTTTCCTAAGTGACCAAGTTTGTTCCTACATCAAGCCATCACACTTGCTCAACTCTCTGTATAAAATCTGTTTTCCCACTCTAAAATGTAAAATCTATGGCCTTTTCTCACTTCTCCACTATTGTATTCCAACTTGACACAGCAGGCATGCAACAAATACTTGTTAGGTGGCCGGTTGGCCTATTTAACTGAGAACCAATCACTTTAAACAGTCTGGGCATTCTAGTTCAAGCAAAAATAAGGCACAAGTTTATTTAATGGATTTTATACCAAACTAGCAAATCAAAGAACTGTAATTCTGGGTTTTGATATAAAAATATATACCAACATCTTATCATCTTACCTGTCAAGAATGTTGCAAGATACATAATTTTCTCATTTGTAGCTTGAACAATTGTTAAATATTTATCTTCTTTGCTGTTCATTTTGCAGGATTTATGCCTTGTGTTAGCTTGCTTTTCTTGTGTCAGTAAACAAAAAAAAAATTTGTCATGACTCCATTACCTGTGAGTTGTTTTAGACTTGTTTTCAAGAGATGAGGTCTCACCCCGTCGCCCAGGCTGGAGTGCAAGGCACAGATCATGGCTCACTGTAGCCTCAACCTCCCAGGCTCAAACAATCCTCCCAGCTCGGTCTCCCAAGTATCTGGGACTATATGCATGCACCACCATGCCTGGATAATTTTTTAACTTTTTTGTAGAGACAAGGTCTTGCTATGTTCCTCAGGCTAGTCTTGAACTCCTGGGCTCAAGCAATCCTCCTGTCTCAGCCTCCCAAAGTGCTGTGATTACAGGTGTGAGACACCAAACCTGGCCAGACTTTTTTGTTTGCTTTGTAAACTTGATTCTGTTTAAGAGGTAGTATGCATAATATGGTAGAAATAAGACTGCTGTGGGTTCAAATCCACTTCTCTATTTACTAGTTGTGAGAGACACCTGGATGATTTAAGTTCCCTTTCAGTCTTTGTGCATAAAATGAGATAAAATCATTGAAGGATGGGTCAAGCCTGTGAACTGACTACTGCAGCATGACACACACTGTGGGCTCAGAACAATGCTATTCTCTTCCCATCCCCTGTAGCAGCCCCCAGTAGTCAGAGTTAATTTGGGCTCTTACCATGCTTTTCCTTCTGTTTTCTTTTCTCTCCTTACTTCAGCTTCCTCTCTTGCTGTGCGCCTTCACTTTGGTCTTTAGGTAGGTGAGCTGACTTATCACAGAATTCCTATGAATTGTCAATGTCTTCAAGTTTTCTGAGGTAGAATTGTGTTTAATTTTCTAGAGAAAGATTTGAGTTGCTTAAAGCTTCAAGTGTCTCCTAGCCAAGTAAATCATGTTCAAAGTGATATTTTTGTTTTAACCCTATTGGATTTTTACAGCAACAATGGCTCAGTCTTCTCCAAGGACAGCTAAACACATTGAATAGTTCTGCTGAGTCTAACAGAAGGGAAAATTTACCTTATGCCTACTCTTTTACCAAACACTAAAAGGTATTTTCCCTTTCAAGCATTTATTTAATATACAGTACTAATAATCCTAAAAGACATATGTATTATTCTTATGAATTATGACTATACACAGTAAATGAAGTATTAGCTAATTAATTAAACAACCACTGTACTTCCATTGTTAAAGATAACCATGTAAAATATTGGGCTTTCCTGTTAATGATATCTCTGCAGAAATACCGAATAACACTTAAGAAGTTTGGTAATTTTCGTATGCATTTGTGAAATTTACATATATTTCTCTTCCTTATAGGTAATAAGGACTGGAAAATGAGATCTCAAGGACATGATTATAATTGAAAAGAGAAGTATAAACATGACTATAATTCACTAATAGTTCTTCCACATATCACGATCTGTTCTAATGTCAGTTAATTGGGCTACTTTAGCTCTCTAGGTTTTATTACTGAGAGAATATTAGCTTACTAGAGATTATTTTTACAGGTTATATTTTTGCTAAATTTCACAATATTTACAGGTCACATTTAACTGTTTATATTATTAGATAGGAGCATATAACTATTTTCATTCTCAGGTATTTCAGATTAATAAACCCTACAGTAAAAGCATGGCTTATTTCCTTGAAAATTAAGTTTGAAGCCTACTTACCAATGTTTAAAGGAGCAGCTCACAATACTATTGGAATGTACTTTCAAATTCCAATGAGGTTGGGTCAGGAAACATTCTAAGTAAATTCTAACTCTTAAGCCAAAATCAAGGGACATATACAATACTTTTTTCTAAATTTACATGACAATTTTTCTCACACTGGGAAACACATTCACCTGCCTTAAATCCTTTCTAAAGCAAAGTAAAATGTTAAAGAAAAAAAGAGTCTCATTAAATTCAGAATGAAAACAAAATGCAGTTGCTCAGGAAAATGTCTTTAAAGTTGCTTAAATCTATTTTAAAATTAAGCATTAGAGGAGGAAAAGTTAAGAGTCAACATTTTCTTTTAAAGTGTCATGCCTAATTTTATGTGGCTGCCCTGATAGGAAACTGATCACTAGCAAAAGGTTAATAATGCCCTTATACAGTTGCAAATTTCTATAGTATCAAATATTCAATTATACTATTTTCCTTTGATCACAAAGTTAAGCTTCTTGAACTTTGAGGTGAGACGAGGTAAGAGGTGAGGGGAAAATAGAAAATACTTTTTGTGAAAAAATATTTCTTTTACTAGATATTGGTACTTTTCCAGAGATTTTTGCTTATGGGTTAAGAATGAAAACACAACACTAGGCCATAAATTTCATCCCTTCTGTTTGTCAAGTAACTCAAAATTTGTAACTGTTTCCCATCAATAAATCATAAATGATATTTCCTTTCAGCTTTACAGAAATGTTTTAAGGCCATAACAGAACTTTAATGTCTTCTGAAAAGAGGTAAGTATTGTCAAAATGCACAAAGAGTATAATTTAAATTTAAAAACTCAACTTGGAGAATGAAAAGGAACAGACTGTTTGTATAGAGTTTGCCAAACCAATTTAGAAAACAAAATGGTTTTAGAACATTGCGACTATTTTGGGTGGTATTCCTAAAAATTCTCCCTAGATATGCCAACAATCATCTTAAAAACTCAGAACTAATGTACAGAGTTGTATAAAGTGAGAATAAAATTGTATAGAGGGTTCTGAGTGCATCTCGCTGGTTGAAAGAATGAAGGAAAATCCCAATGCCACTGTTAGTCAGCAGTCTTCAAATCTTACCTTCCCAGTGAGGCCTGTTCTGGACTACACCATTCAACACTGAAATCTCTCCACCCAGCAATCCTGAGCTCCCTTACCTTTCATTTCTGCTATAGCACGCATTACCTTACATATAGTATGTTGACTATTTTCCCTTGCTAGAATGTAAGCTCCATGAAGGCAAGGTCCTGCTGTTCACCCACTTGTATCCCAAGCATCTAGAACAGTGTCTGACACATATCTGGTGCTCAGTAACTATTGAATAACTTGCAATTTAGAGTTTATTGCATCATGTCATTTAAAGATGCCATATTTCATTTTGCTTCATTCTTAACTCCCTTTTGTAGCTCAAGAAACCCTTCCCTGATCTTTCCAAAGCACTGTTTTAGTCAGGATATAACTTACACTGTGATAAAAAATTGTCCCAAAGTATCAGTCTAAATGGTTTATTTCTTATTTATGCTAATATCTAACAAGTTTAGCGTGGCAGAAGGAACAATTTGAGGGAGTTCTGCTCCAGTATCACTCAAGACCCAGGCTGACAAAGCTGCACCATCTAGAACATGCAAAATCCTTAATCACAGCAGTAGGGGAAGAGAGAAACTGGATGGTAAATTTTTTTCATTGCCTTTACAGAAAGTGGAGTGTCACACTACTTTCTGTATTACATTAGAATAAACTAGTTACATAGGCCTCATTCAACTGCAAGGTGATGGAAATTTTGGGGAGCATAATGTTTGATAACCATTATCACATGCACCTCACTTTCCACAGCATGTATCACAATTTATAATTGTTAATGTAAATTCTGTTTCCTCTACTGGAGTGTAAACTCTTCAAGGGCAGGGATAGAGGGTGTGTTTTGATCACTAATGTATTCCAAACCCATATATACAGCAGGGACTTGGTATTTGTTGAATAAAAAGTTTAAAACCGAATAGTCAAAATAATTAACCTTTTTAATTTTTTAAAGGAAAAATACTCTCCATAGGAAGGCATTTCTATTTTTTGTCCATCAGTAGCCAAATGGAACTTGATATAAACACTTCCAGTATGCCAACTTTGGTTTAATGCACAACTTTGAAAATAACTCATTAAAACACACATCAAGATGCTACTAACAAATTCATTAATATCCAAGATTCATTACTGTATGTCAAAGGTCATCCAGGATTAACATTTTCATTACAATGAACTGTGAAATTCCAATGAAAAATGTTTGCCTGAATTAAATTATTTAATCTCTCAAATTGGAAGTCTAGCACTCTTGAAAATCAAATTCACACACACACAGACACACACACACACACTTACAAACTGCACATTAGGACATGAGGGCAATTTAATGGAAAAAGAAAATAGAAACTGAAAGGGCATTTGTAAAATGTAGGATATCATTTGGACAACTGGATAGAGTAGGCAGAAAATCCTAAAGGTGTACATAAAAAAATAGCCAGTAAATGATAGGCTACAGAAAACCACACTGAAACATTTGATGAATTTCACTGCAGTAAACAGACTTGGCAAACTGAAACACTAGAACCATGACTACAAGCCTCACTTCATTCCACACAAATAAAATCTCTAACCATTATAAGCACAGATGAGAATCCTCATGCAACAGAGGAAATATAAATTATTTTTAATTTTAAAAAATAAAAAATATAAATTCTTGTTAAACACTTGATTTAAAAATATGCAGCTTTATTTTTAAATGTAGTTATGCTCAAAGATGGCAGTTTACTTATATGTAAAAATGTTTTAAAAATATCAATATATTGGTTTATAAGTTCTATACTGCCCTCAGCTAAATATTTTTCACCAAAATTCTCAAATAACTATCAAAAAGAGTTGCATGTTTTTATAAGCCCACTATAATTACTAAACGCGGTAATTTTCAGAGCTAAAGGTGAATCATTAATGAAATATTTTTTGATGTGATAAAAGTCACATGAGCATTTGAATTTAAAGACAACTGATAAGCCAACAGCAGCCTTTTTTTGGCAGGTGTTAAATTAATTTGCTCTAAATTGAGCAACTGTTTGGGAACTACAAAAACTGAAAAGTTCAAACTATAAGGAAGTAGAAAGGTGATGAAGTTTACTAATACAGTGTTTCACACATTCTATTTAACACAATTCCAAATGCAAATGTTTAAGATGATTTTTGAAGAGAAACATCTACAATGTTAAGCTTGTCTATGCTAAACAAATGTAACTTTAATTTACATGTATCATCCTAATGTCAACAATATTTAGACATTCATGATTAAGCCACTGAATTCGAAAGGATTCTCAATAACTACATGTAATCTGCATCTGTGGCATTAGAAAGTAATCAAATCACTGTCCGTTTTCTGATGCAATGGAACATCCTACAAATTCATGACAGATATACTAAGCTAAAAAGCTTTGAGATCAGGTACAGTATAAATTTCATTTTTAAAGAATATACATGGATATACAGAAGAAAACATGATTGTATAGTCACTAACATATTAACGATGGCTATGTCTCCAGGTGATAGGATTATGAGTGATTATTTTATTGTTGTTGTGATGGGGAAGTAGTCTCAAAATACCTAGCTTAACAACCAGAGTACTACCACCAAAGCAAACTATTTTGTCCTTTCCTGTCTTCACATTACAAACTTTTTAAAGCTACCAACCAATATGAATTTGTCTGACTGGCTACCCACATTCTGATATACATATTAGAAGGAAGATCTTTTGGAAGATGGAAAAACAGCAAGATTATGGTCATAAAAGAATAATATGCTCTCAAAAATAAGCAACAATCATTAGGCTTTCTATAGCCACATACAATTAATTCTATAAGAAAGTTGGCTCCAACATTTCATCTTTAAAAGACTTTTTCCATTATCCTGTTTCCTGGTTTTCAGGTACTGTCCTTACAACAGTTTGGACTGAATATTCTTGTTTCCATTCACAAACATTTCTTTCTGAACTAGCAACAGCACTAATCAATAGCTACACTTAAGCCATTTAAGACTAAGCTTTAGATGTGTGTCTAATTATCTGGCAAAAATAAAAGAACCAAAGAGTTTCATGTTAGCAGCAAATTAACTAGATTTAAGGGTCTTGATTTTTTTCATAAGCCTTTGGAAGCCTGCATATTAAACACTGGTGAGTTTTAAATTCTCAATGGAAATGGTGATGGCATTTACTGAACCAAGCCAGCTCATATTACAACGTACAAAGGACATGATATAAAAACAAAACTAGCACATTTCTATTTTTCAAACATCACCAAAATGTCTTCTTATAAATTAGAATACTTTTAGACTCCAGTATAGTTTTCAACCATACGTATACCCAAGATACCGAAAAATAAAATGTGTGTACACATACACTTCATATTTTACATTATTGCACATTTTTTCATTTACTTTTTAAAAAATTACATGGAGAAAATGTAAACTTGAAATAATAAGTCCCACTGTAACATTGTCTACTTTATTTTTTTAACACTTGTACAAACTACACTTTCTTATTACCTTACTATGCTTTGTTGAAAGGATATGCTTTAGTCTTCAAGCTTTTAAGAATATTAGAAACAACATGATTAAATTCAAGTACAAAAAGTCCTTTAGACTATTCCGAAATATCAATTTTTATATGGCACAAGTCATGATGAGTAAATGAAGCTTTCCATATGCTGATGGCAGAGTACAGAATAATAGACAAAAGCCACAAAATTGAAATCTAAAGTATCAAATCCATTCTGGGGAATTATCTTCAAACATCTGTCATAATAAAAATATGCACAATTTTCTAAGAATCTTGGACTTTTTCAGGACTAGAACGCTATTTAATGTGCTTATACAATTTATGAAGTGATGACTAAAGCCCTAAAAATAAGTGTTTTTCCTTAATTAAACATGAGTAGACAGATACTCTACTCTCAGGCCATGTTTTTTTTTTTTTTTTTTTTTAAACAGTAGGCTTTGAAGGACAGCAGGAAAAAAAAAAACTGAAAACTTTGTATTCACATTTGGCTGCCCATTAATTAAAACTTCAATGGACTTAAGCAATTTGAATTATAAACTCTCATTTAATAAAACACCCACACAATGACAAGAATGAGACTTTAATCAGTTTTAAGTGGAGTTTATAACACTAAGAGATAAAGGGTTGTTAACAAACACAATAACAAATGGACATCTGATTGGGATGAGGCATTATCCTGTACACATCATATTGGTATTTTTGTGTATCCTCAGTGCATAGCATTTACACACAGAGCCACTGCTGCACAGCACAAGAGTATCTGAAGAGGCTGAATCAGAGTAAGGCTGTTTAACAGACTGAAATTTTTTAGTATATATATTCTATATGAAAACAGGTTGAACTTTTGAACTGGCAGGTAGAAGGCAACTCTGCCAAATACTACAGTTAAAGCCCCCACTTTAGTGCACAGTTCCACCCCTTCCATCTGCATGCATGACACATTAACAGTATTTAAAGGTAAACGAGGCACTTTGTGGCAACCACAGCCATCGTTATGAACATATTGCACAAAATTTCTAGAACTAAACATTAAACTTGTACCCTACTTTTATTTTTTAAAGCTGAAACATTTGATGCTGCCGGTAAACTCCACTTAAGTTTATAACCTGTGCCACAGCAAAGAATGGTGATGCTATTTATTCAACTACCCTTTTAAAAGTATGGCAAACATGTTCAAGAGGAGCTACAAAGGACTTGGGATGGTACAGGGCCCAACTGTAAGCTTTCTTAAAAGTGATGCCTTCAAGTAACTTCAGACATGTAAGCTGCTGCACATCCAAAAAGTCTAAGAAAATATTCCAGAAACTCAGAGATTACCTACAGAATGCATTTCAGGCTAATTATGAATACTGCCATAAATAAAGTTTTAATTAGGACTCGAAAACCTTTCAGTCATAGCAATTCTTGTCAAATTCTATGGGGATGGTAACTGAAATAAAGTAAGGAGAGTATGTATAATATATATTTATATATATAATATATATAATGCCATTTTTCCATTTCCAATGACTACACCATAAAATGTAAGCAAGGCTTCTCAAAAACATTGAAACATTCAAAATCAAAACCCTCATTCAGACCTTCACATTCCAAAGGAAAAATAATAACAGTGCAAAAGCCCATTATAATGTCATTATTTATGACCTGGCCCTCCATGTTACATATTGGAACAATAAAGTTACGTTTTAATATGCGGTGCCCGAAATTGTAACAAAGAACAATATTTATAACTATCTTCAAAACATGAAGTTGATTTTCATTTTAGGTAACAATTTTCAGCTTTTATGAAAGACAAGGTGGCATATAAATTTCAATGGTGAGGTGTTAGAATAGTTGTCTCTAACTTTACCAATTTAACTTATGAGCAATCAATCAATACTCTATATATCAATGTTTAAATATAAATGTGTAAATCCTAAGAGCTTTGTTAAAAATTTAAAAATTGTTGAATGAAACTGACAAGGTATGGAAAACGTGTCAACATTATTTACTAAGAATATTTTAGATGAAGTTCTGCCTAATCTATTTGCCATCAAACTCTATAAATGCTGCTCTAGTAGGTCCTATTCAATCTGTATTTGTAAATTAACTAGGTCAGACCACAGCTAGTGAACAATTTCAGCACCAATAAGTTATTGAAAATGGAATTTTATACCATTAAGAAACAAAATGGCTGGATATTCAAATGTCAAGGTGAAGGTATAATTTGAAGACACCAAATTTCTGGAAAAAAAAACCTTTTTAATAATATCTTCACATTAGCTTTACAATAGTAGTTGTACTCCGCTTAAAATCGTATGCAGTCTGGGCATATCAAATATATGATGATTTTTTTTAAGAAGTGAAATTGAAGCCCTAGTCCCAACTCGGGGGAGCACTATGAAGAAATGATTCAACACTGCACATTTAAAAAAAAAAAAAAAAAAAAAAAAAAAAACCCTATTCTTTCAATAGCAAATCAATAAAGCACATGTAGGACAATTTCTACTGAAAAATCAAATGTCTTTTTTTTGTGTGCAGCATTGAAAGTTTACTGCAACTCTAATTTCCTTTTTAACACAAATGTCCTTTTTAATATAAACATTATATGTATTCAGTATTCAAGTAAAATTCCCTAACAGTTAATGACATTTAAAAAATGTGCAAAACTGCAAAATTCATTGTAATAGAATGTGTAAGGTCAAAAGGGTGGAACGGCTGACAGCTATTGAATAAGTGCATCATAAATCTTCAAAGAAAAAAAACGCTTACTGTAGAATCTCAAATTGAAAATTTCTGTGCAGCATTACAAAATATTTTATATTTAATGAGAAAAAAGAAGCTTGCAGGCAGCACATGAAGCATCCACAGCAGGTATTATGATTGAAAACTAGTAAAATAAGTGTAAGTTGTTGACTGATGTAGGTACTAACAGCATCTGAATTTTAGCACTGGCCTTGATTACACAGGAGATGGAGAAGTCGTTACAATTGAGAAAACATATTTAATAAATCATTGTCAATTTTTATAATGTTTCAAGCCCATTCTTTGTTGATAGCCTCCACATTTATATGGTTAAGTCATTGTTGCTGTGTTTCTTACCTATGACATTATTTTTATATCCCTTCATTTGTGGATCTTAAGATGTTGCAGAAGGTTCATTCCTGTACCCCAATACAGATTCACTTCCTTTAGCTGCCTTTTCTAGCACCAATATGCTTTAAAAAAAAATGCGCAAACAACAAGCAGTGACAGCGGCCAATTCCTCGAATGTCCAGATTAATAACTGTAGCATGCTAAAGAAAGGTGTGTGTAAATAGCTGGAGATGGTATATGGTCCAGAGTCCAGCATAAAATTATTTCCTTTCTGAGCATTCCCTCCATTCCCCTAACCCGAATACATGCATTAGAATGTAGCAAAACCCTTCGGAAACCTCTCTTAGCCAACTGCAAACTTATCTGTTGCCACAAGTGCAAAGGGGTAGGATGTGAACCAGTATATCACAAAGCTCTTTAGCCACTTCAGTTGGTGACAGAACACAAAAGGAAAAAATTCCTACGTATACACATCAGTCTGTCTCCACTTTTTATAAAACTGGAATAAAACGGGAAAGTGCCATCTTTATTAATCCTAATTGAATTTTAAATGTCCTTTTGACACAAAAAGGTATATACATGACACAGCTACACAACCTTTTTTCAACTGGACAACAAGTGTCAAAACCCTGTGGATGTATAGGGTAAAACAAGATTGGTCAGGAAAAGAGAATTGTTCCTATAACTGGTAATCTGACACAATGTCCTATTGCCATTAAAAAAAAAAAGGTCCATTTTCAGTTTATTCAAGTTTATTTTCATGGTGTTTTATCCCTCTTGATAAAAAAAAATTCAGACTTTTGTAATTTGTGTATGCTGATCTTCATCAAAAGGTTCATTCTCTGGATCAGAGTCAGTGGTGTCAGAATATCTATAATGATCAGGTTCATTGTCACTAACATCTGGTGTTACAGAAGTTGAACTGCTAGCCTCTGGATTTGACGGCTCCTCTACTGTTTTTGTGAAGTACAGCTTCACCTAGAGAAAGAAAATTTAAAATGAAAACCCACAAATATGACTCATCTTAAACTATTTAGTGAAATATATTTTTAACAGATTTTTTATTCCATTTTGCAGATGAACATATTAATTTTTAAGCACTGTAACAAACATGATCTTTAAGAGGCCTTTTAAATGACCCTCTTCTTAAGATGTTCAACATTTTCTTTCTTGCTAGGTACTAAACAGATAAACTATCAGGATGTTAATACAATTTATTTATTTTTATTTCTGGAGACAAGAGTCTTGCTCTGTTGCCAAGCTGGAGTGCAGTGGCATGATCTTGGCTCACTGCAACCTCTGCCTCCCGGGTTCAAGCAATTCTCGTGCCTTAGCCTCCCAAACAGCTAGGGCTACAGGTGTACACCACCATGCCCAGATAATTTTTTGTATTTTAGTAGAAATGGGGTTCATGATGTTGCCCAGGCTGATCTCAAACTCCTGAGCTCAGGCAATCTGCCTGCCTCAGCCTCCCAAAGTGCTGGGATTACAAGTGTGAGCCACCACGCCCAACCTCAATTTTATTTTTTAAGGAATATAAGTGGCAAATATTAACTAAATAATTATACAAAATAAATGCAGATTGAAAGTCATCAATAGTTTACATAATATAGCATTTGAATTACAAAATTCAATTCACAAACAGCTGAGTTCAAAAAGAATGTTTCTCTTACTACCTATGTGAAAAATCAATGTATTTCTTTGTGTGTGTGTGTGTGTGTGTGTGTGTTTTTGAGACAGGGTCTTGCTCTGTCACCCAGACTAGAGTGCAGTGGCATCTTCACAGCTCACTGCAGGCTCAAACTCCCAGGATCAACCTCAGCCTCCCAAGTAGCTAGGACTACAGGTGCATGCCACCACACCCAGCTAGCTTTTATATTTTTTGTAGAGATGGGATTTCACCATGTTGCCCAGGCTGGTCTCAAACTCCTTAGTTCAAGGTGGGAGGCCCACCTTGGCCTCCCAAAGTGTTGCGATTTTAGGCGTGAACCACTGTGCCCGGCTTCAATGTAGTTTTTGATATAAACAACACTACACAAACACAAACTACTGATCAACATTGATATTTGGGATTTATTAGCCCTAAAAACTTTACCTAAAGGGAGGAAGGAGAGGGACATTAACATAATACAGTGGTCTATAACAGAGAGTCAAGTGCCTTTACATGCCTAGTGAAAATAACTGTCAAAACAACCTTACATGTTAGGTATTTCCATTTCCAAGGGGAGGTAGCTAAGGCCCAGAAAGGTTAGGGAACTTGTTAAAGGCTACATATCTATTAAAAGTAGGTAGTGGATGTGAGATTTAAATCAGAAATGACTTCAAATCCCTTCTTCATTATATTATATTGACAGCCCCTCCCTCCCCTATTATCCAAGAGTCATTATCAATTCTTCTCTTACAACCAACATCCACTGCATCAGTAAACTCTTTAAGTTAATCTGACAGCTTCTTGTTACCCTTCACTGCCACTATTCTAAGCAGTGAGGGGCAACAAGAAGCAAACATCTTCTCTCATCTTTACTAAACTATTCAAGTACCTCTTAACTGATCTCTCAGCTTCCTTTATTACCCCTTCTCCCTACTTTCCTCACTCATCTGTATTTTGAAAGCATGAACACAGGGAATATTAAACACAAAATTCAGATTACATCCTTCCTATGCTGAACACACACTAGTGTCTTTACACTTGGACTGGTTTTCTTGTCCACTCTGTTTCAGTCAAAATGACTTATCCACTCTTCAGATATACCAAGCTCATTCTCTTGTCTAAGGGCTTTTGCATCTGTACTCTTAACTCTTTTCCCAGATATTTGTATAACTCACTTATATGATTTAGGCCTCTGCTTAAATGTTATCTGCTTGGTTGGGCCTTCTCTAATCATCTTTGCTAAAAAACAAAAAACATACAAACCAAGATTACTTTCTATCCTGTCTATTTTTTATAGCACTTACTACTATATGACATTGTATTTGTTTACTAATAATGGAGTTTTTATTTGTAATCACAAATATAAAACATCTTGCAATATTAAAATAGAAAACAATAAAACTAAAGGGAAAAAGACATTTTAAAAGTTAATGGCTGAGCAAAATGCAGATTTAGAGAAAAGAAAGGAAACCTGTGGATTCTAAAGAGAATGTCTAGCCCGGAGGACATGATGTTAAGTAAAATAAGTCAGGTACAGAAAGATAAATACCGTATGTTCTCACTCATATATGGAAGCTAAAAAAGTTGAGCTCATAAGAGTGTGGTTATTAGAGGCCGGGAAAGGGAGTGGGAGGGGAGGATAGGGAGATGTTGGTTAAAAGATAAAAAATTACACACAGGAGGAATAAATTATAGTGTTCTATAGAACTGTAACTAGTCAACAATAATTTACTGTATATTTTCAAATAGCTAGAAGACAGAATTTTGAATGTTCCTAACACAAAGAAATGACAAATGTTTGAGGTGATCCATATGCTAATTATCCTGATTTGATCATCACACACTGCATACATGAAAATATCACTCTGTATCCCATAAATATGTACAATTATTATATATTAAAAATTTTTTTAAAGGGAAACTTCTGAACACTTAAAAAAAATTTAAGGGCTAAAGACATTTAATATTAGATCTATTTTCACTTAAAACGTGCAGGGGCCCAAGTATTACTATTACTACCAATATACATACATACATACATACATATATGTATGTATATTGGTAGTAATAGTGTGTGTGTGTGTGTGTGTGTGTGTGTGTGTGTGTATATATTTTTTTTTTTTTTTTTTTTTTAAGACAGAGTCTTGCTCTGTTGCCCAGGCTGAAGTGCACGTGCACTGGTGTGATCTCGGCTCACTGCAACCTCCATCTCACAGGCTCAAGCAATTCTTGTGCCTCAGCCTCCCAAGTAGCTGGGATTACAGGTGTGCGACACCATGCCCAGCTAATTTTTGTATTTGTAGTGCAGATAGGGTTTCGCCATATTGGCCGGCTGGTCTTAAACTCCTGGGCCTCAAGTGATCCGCCTGCCTTAGCCTCCCAAAGTGCTGGGATTACAGGTGAAGTATTACTAGCAATATTCTTAATACTCAGACGCTACAGTTAGATTTATTACATGTTATAAAAATTGAATGAAAAATTAAGAGAGAGTAAAAAAGAGAAAGAAACGAGTGTGGTGAATGAACAGGGGAAAATCAGGTAGAATAAGAAATAGGAAGGGGGAAGAAAAAAATGGTAAACAACCACTTGGGAATGTTTACAAATCAGATTTTTTTAATCTGAAGAATTCTTGTCTATAAGTAGATATATATACCTATGTAGAAATACATATATCACACATAGGCAAAAATGAAACAAACCAAATAATTCTAAGATACAATATAAGGAAATAGGATTTTTAAAAAAAGAATAACGGGAGGACAATCAAAGGACTTCAGAGAATATGAGATTGAAGCTAAGGCTGGAAATATGAAGATAGCTATGGAAGGTCAGGGGAAAAGGCTGAGATGAAAAGGTACAGGGAGAAGGAAAATAACTGGAAAGACTAGAAGAGGCAGAAGCTTAGCATTTTGAAGAACTGAAGAAAGACCAGTATGACTGAATCTCAAGAAACAAGGAGAGAAGGTGACTAGTGCTGATGTAGGAGGTAGCCCTGTGCTAAATTATGCTGGGCCTTGTAGGTCATGGTAAAAAAAAAAACACAAGGTCCTTATAAAGTGTAAACAGAAGTGACACAATCAAGTCTATTTTTAAGATCACTCTGAGGGATTGAGAATAAATTGGAAGGCAGACAGGAGTGGAAGCAGTAAAAACATTCCATATGAATCATTCCCAAATGACTGAGTTCCCATCTATTTCTTTCCTCTCCCATTCCTACTTCATATCCCAGTCATTTAGCCCCCTCCCGCACCTTTGCCCCAGATTTCAGCAAACAACGAAGAATTAGGAAAAGGAAAAATGCAGCTTTTTTGACGCTGTGTACATTGGGTATTTTATTAGAAACTTTCATGTTACTGCTACGTAAACACTGCTTCGAAATAATACATAAGTTAAAAACTTGTCAAGCAAGTTCTTCATCAGCTGTACTCCTAGAATTAAACACACATCACATACATACAAGTCAACAACCCCCACAAAATGTTTAATTTAACTGACCTTAAAATTTGGAGAAAAGTATCGGTTGGCTTTGTCTTTATTTGCTTTGTCAAGATCATTTTTTGTTAAAGTAAGTACTAGATATTCCTTGTCATTATCTGCACGCTCTATACTGCAAATGCTATCGATTTCTTGATCACATAGACTTCCATTTTCTACTTTTTCTGAGGTTTCCTCTGGTCCTGGTATGAAGAATGTATTTACCCAAAAGTGAAACATTTTGTCCTAAAAAAAAAAAAAAAGAAAAGAAAAAGAAATGAAATGACATATTTAATTAATGATGTTTTATTTTTTTAAAAAAGAAAATCTGTCACCTATGTTAAACATTTGCAAAAAGTCAACAAAATAAACTATCATTTGATATTCTGAATAAAGGTAAACACAAAGACTATTATAAGGCAATCTGAGTTATCTGTTGCATTTTCATTCACATGATTTTTCTTCACTCAAATTCTCAAATTTTAAACCAAAAATACAATCTCACAAGATCTAAGATAAACTACTTTTGCCTTAAAATTTTAAGTAAAAAAACCTCTTTTCTCATCTAATACTAGCTTTAAATACGTTTTTAGTTTACGTGTACATACATATAAACAAAATTCAGATATGGATTTAATTTTTTCTACATTTCAAATGAGCTACCTATTCCAAGATTTACTTTAACAAAAGTTCTTGGACGGTGAGTGCAACTTCCCTGATGACGCATGGCAAATACATGTTTACTTCTACAGCAATACAAACATGAGAAGCTCCAGTTTCTTACATGACAATATAATGCTTGAATACTTTCAGAATAAATATGAGGGGGTAGGAAAGAGTACTACTGATTTCTTTTGATGTTATAAAATGCTTGTTCTTAAAAAAAATCACTTCTTACTAATAAGATAATACCTTCTTAATAAAAAAACACAACAGAAGTTCATCACTTTAAACCTCTATTGACCAACAAAGAAATCTGGCCTGTATAAATCATTTGGCAATTAATGATATACAGCCTTGTGACATCTTATCTGGTACCTGGTACCTTAAAATGCCATTTAAATCTTTTATTCTAATTTATCTTAAAGTTTTTTATCCCCCAGAAAATAAGATCCTTAAGGATGTTACGTCTTAAATGTCATTGCATCTTTTAACAGTACCTGGCAAAGTAATCTTGTATACAAGGTCTTTAAAATTTTTTTTTTGCTTATTTCAATTATTTTAGCCAGTAATTGTATTTTACTTAGAAGAAAATAAGCCAATAATATTTAAATAACAAAAAGGTGAATTCTATATATATATGGGTTATACTAAAATTTTTTGTGTTTTAATCATAGCATATTCTTAAATAAGGCAGGGAAAATCAATAAAATGGAAATTTATGTAGTCAAGGATAAACAAATAAATCATAAATATTTAATCTAACCTTCAATTTTGCATGTGTTAAAGTACAGATGAAGGGAAATAAGAATTAGGAAATTCCTAAAGGTATGCAGAGATGATGATGTAGATGCCTATTTTTGAAAGCTAAATAAAACTTACTAGTTATCTTAATTTTAAAACAGTTGCTAATACTTCCTGGATTATCAAAAAATAATTTTTCTAAGTTATTGAGATATATTTAACTTTTATTTGTACAGACGATAGGAAATGGGTTTCTGGCTAAAAAAAAAAAAGTTCAGCATATTTTGATTTTTTTTTCCAGCTACTTGGATTCTGGATAAAGGAAAATTATATCTCTACTGATACATCAAAGCAGCATTTAAAATTTTGCAGTAAATGAAACTTCCTCTTATTTTCTTTCAAAAGAAAAGCTAAAAATCAGAAAAAGTAAATAAATCCTATCATTGAGAATGTTTAAAGATTGGCAATATGCTATCTAGTATGTTTAACAAGGCAGCAACACTACAAAGTTAGTCCTTTTCTTCATTACTATCTAAAAATGTTGCACCTTAGTCTCACTTTAAATATTCACATTTAATATTTTAAATGAAGATAGTTGTTGTTTTTTTTTTCTTTTTTTTTGAGATGGAGTTTCACTCTTGTTGCCCAGGCTGGAGTACAATGGTGCATTCTTGGCTTACTGCAACCTCCGCCTCTCGGGTTCAGCAATTATCCTGCCTCAAGCCTCCTGAGTAGCTGGGAAAACAGGCGCCTGCCACCACACCCGGCTAATTTTTTTGTATTTTTAGTAGAGATGGGGTTTAACCATGTTGGCCAGGCTGGTCTCGAACTCCTGACCTCAGCTGATCTGCCCACCTCAGCCTCCCAAAGTGCTGGAATTACAGGCGTGAGCCACCGCACAGGGCGGATAGTTGGTTTTAAAATAATAAGACGTTGCCTTCTCTAAATACAGATCAATCAAATTCAAACTTCATTAACTTTCTAAACCTGCACATTTAAATACCATGTTTTCATTCTTTATTACTTCCTCTTCATACTGATTTCTCTCCTAGTTAAAAAATTAATCAGTAAATCCACAGAAGCTAAATAGAAAATAATCAAGTCTTAAGAAACGTTAAGGCCAGGCATGATGGCGCACACCTGTAATTCCAACTCTTTGGGATGCCAAAGCGTGAGGACTGCTTGTGCCCAGGAGTTTGAGACCAGCCTGGGCAACATAGTGAGACCCTGTCCCTACAAAAATAAAAATAAAAAAAATTAGCTGGGTGTGGTGGCACATGCTTGTAGTCTTAGCTACTCAGCCTGGGCAATAGAACAAGACCCTGTCTCTAACAAAAAGGAAAAAAAAAAAAAAGGAAAGAAAAAGAAACATAAGCCAAAATGGAGAAAAAGTGGTTTGTGTCACTACATAAGACCACAGAACAGATCTCATTTCTACCTATAGACCAAAATTTTTAAAATATTGGTCCCATGCTAATTTCTTCTCAGTTAACCATCCTTGTTAAGAAAAATTCCTCTCATGTTACAATGCCATAAGGCCTTTTCCTTCAAACAGGATTATTTACCCTTATAATGTCTCACCAATGCCAGAGTAAGCAAAACACCTGCAGATCTAATAGAAAACAAATTATAGTTCCTTACATGTCATAAAATAAAATATAGCTTTTAATCTGTCCTTATTTTGGATATTTCTCCCAATGAAAGTAAAGTACAAACCTTTTTTAGCATCTTGTTCTGTTTGTGGAAGAACTCTACTTTGATATCACCACACACAGGTAACGGCTGAGGGAACTCAAAGTACATGAACTTGTCTTCCCGTCGTGTGGGTCCTGAATTGGAGGAATATATCTTCACCTTTAGCTGGCAGACCACAAACTGAGGATCTGCATGGTTAAATACATACCAGTATTATTTCACAGGAAATGCCTTTAACTGTCAAACTGTCAAAAACGATTTTAATGATTAATATCAGCAATATACACGAAATATGGATTCTGTATCTGCAATCTTGATCTCAAGCAAATCAACTGAAATAAATGAAATAAAAATATAAACAATGTAAGATTTTCTCCAGTTTGAACCTTCAAAATAAGGTCCTATTACTTATATAAAAGTCAATTCCTATTTCATGAATAGTAAGTCCCAAAATTAGACTTCTAGTGGCAGAGTAACTTCAAAACTTTAACATTAAAATCATACTAAAAATCCTAATACAAATAAAAACTTTAAGCATTAAAAACGATGAAATAATTATCTGGTACATTTGTGAACTACATCAAAAGTAACTTTTAAGACAGATATCAACAGGGAGTAGTCACGAAAAATTTTTAAATGTAAAGAAGACAGATATTTGCTATAGTATTCTTAAGTCTCTAGCATGCGGCAAAGATCACAAAATACAAATCACTACATGTTCACAAGAGAAAGAGGATAAAACCTATAACAATGTTATAAAAAATTTCAAAAACACAAGTCTAAATATTTATTAAAAAATTAACCATCATTCATTTTCCTATAGCTCACATTTTAAAGGTATATAATGCCACCATCATAACAGGAAACAAGAGATTTGAAATTTCTGTAAAGAAATGTAACAGATTTCAAGTAAAAACTGCAGCACAACCTTCCTTTCCTCCAAAACACCTCATTTTCATTAACAAGTATTCTGGCTTTGGCTCATGTCTGTTTTAAATAACTGGTAAAAAATAAAGTAACTGGTAAAATATAACTTCTCAAAATTCATCATGCTTTTACACTAGCAGTTGAACCAAATGGTGGGAAAGTGTGTTAAGGGAAGGATTGTATGTTTTATTTTTTAAATCTACTCATAAATTCATTTATAGCTAATGACCTTAATGACAGAAATTAAAGACTGATGAATGTTATGATCCCAGGACTTCAAAAACTGAAAGTTACCTAAATAATTTGACAAAGTATAATTCATTTGTCATACGCTGAGGAATTAGAAAACAAAAGTCCATTACAAAGAAATTTATTAACCTTAGGAGGTTAAGAAGTGCCATTTGAAGAAAACATGCCAAGATAATAGAGAAACAGGAACACAAAGTTACATAAAGTGTATGAGAAATATTATACATATTTAAATATATTTTGTATTTATATTACGTATATATATATATATATATAAAACAAAAAATTCTCAGCACCAAAAGGTGTCATTATTCTAAAAGATAAACAAAAGTCTTACATTTTTATCAATGTGACTGAGAACAAGGCAAAGCTAAACCAAGTTAAATGAAATTTCCAGTTTAGTAAACACCTACTACTATTTCTATGTAATATCTAAAGCAGTATCAGCCATCACATAATTAATATGTTTGATAAAAGCATGCAGGCTACTCCAACATGGTCTTCTAAGACACTTATTATTCAAAAAAGCTACCACAAACAGGATAAATATTACACCAACAATCTATCAATAAATTTCACTTCCTTGACTCAAAGTTCAAAGTGCAATGAGCCATTTCATAAGACTTTATGTGATACTGAAATTTCACTGGGAAATCTAACTTCAAGAAGCAAATAAACAAAGTAGGATTCCAAAGCTGTGATAAAATTAACCAGAATAAAACTGAAAAACTGCCTTGTAATCTTTTTGATTTAAACTCCATTAATTCAGAATCTGATAATCCTGATTTTAGGACTTTAAAAAGCAAATTAATAGTATTTCCAGGTTTCAATTAAACTACATCTAAAATGTGCATCTTCAAATATTATAGTATTATATTAAAAATGTATAAGTAGTAAAGATTTCCTCAATCACTAAAGAAAATAATCTTCTCTGCAATATGAATATCATGTTTCAGATAGATAAGACCTAACTAAGCAGAAGTCCAATATTAGTATGGTTCTGTGGACTTCTACAATATATATCCTTGGATATATATGACTATGTTCCAAAAAATAAATAACAAGATCCAGACCTAGTGATATAGTTTGGATATCTTTCCCTCCCAAATCTCAGGTTGAATTGTAATCCCCAGTGCTAGAGGTGGGGCCTGGTGGAAGAAGCTTGAATCATGGGGGCAGATCCCACATGAATGGCTTGGGCCATCCTCTTGGTGGTAAGTGAGCTGGCATTTAAAAGTGGGTGGCACCTTCTCCCCACCACTCCTTCTCTTTCTTGCTCCCATTCTCACCATGCTCCCCTTTTGCCTTCAGCCATGATTGGAGGCTTCCTGAGGCCTCCCCAGAAGCAGATGCTGCTATGCTTTCTGTACAGCGTGCAGAACCATGAGCCAATTAAAGAAGAATTCATAAAGAAAACAGGTTAAACCTGTTTAATACTCAGTCTCAGGTATTTCTTTAAAGCAATGCAAAAACAGACTAATACACCTAGTAAATGAAAATCAGAATGTAAAGAATGGAATGATAAATAGTGGAGACTTGAAACGGTGAGTAGAAGATGAGAAATTACTTAATGGGTACAATGTATATTATTCAGATGATGGACAACCTAAAAGCCCTGACTTGAAACTATACACTCTATGCATGTAACAAAATTACACTTGTGTCCCTAAATCTATACAAGCAAAACAATTTTTTTAAGTCAGAATTAAATTTCCTTGGATATATACATATTGTTATAGTCTTGAATGAAAACCACATTGATCATCTTTTAGTAACATTTTTAACCCTGTTAAATGTCTAGAATATAGTAGCTTTTTCCATCTCTTAGAAATATTAAGACAAAAATCAAGAAAAAGCTGCCAATCCCTACAGAAGATGCTGTATTTTTCAGCACTATCTGTTCTCTACATTGATTCCTCTTCTTCTTCCTAAACCCAAGTTGCCATTCTTATCTCAGTCCTCACCCTCTCCTTTTCTTCCTTTCCTCCAAGACTTCCCATGCCCAAACGCCACACCATTATTTATATGAAAGGCTTAACTACTCTCCCTTTCCTGATGATGCCCAAAATATCGATATATCTCCTACCTAGATTCGAACCCATACTCCCAAGTACCCACTGAATATTGTCATGTGAGAAGCTCACTTTTACCGGATTTAAAACACGTTTAAAACCAAAATATCAACATTAATGTCTCCAAGTCTCAGATTCACTTTTCTTTCTTTCTGAGACTATTTCACCTGACTGGGCTCAAAACTTTTACAAAATCTTTGGCTATAAATGGCAAATAAAAAATTAATGAAATCCCATTTGATTGTCTTAGCATACCTGCATTAAGGCAAGTTTTATTACTGGTTTCTTTTCCACTATTTTTTCCTCTTGCGATTACAACTTTGCATACAACTGTCCTTAAAACATGGTTTAGTCCTCAAGTATTATCATGACATCTCAGTATTTATGAAATCAAGTCTGTTATCCCCATTCAAGATCCTCTAACAGTCACTCACACGTTCCATACCTATTCTCTGACACTACATTCTTGTCCAGCTTTTTCCTTCTGCTGCACTTCCACTCAAGCTATTTCCCATTGCCTGTAATACTTCTTTCAGTAGTTTTTAATTTATTTACTTATTTTTTTTTTAAGACGGAGCCTCACTCTTACCGCCCTGGCTGGAGTGCAATGACGCAATCTCGGCTCACTGCAACCTCCACCTTCGGCTTCAAGCAATTCTCCTGCCTCAGCCTCCCAAGTAGCTGGGACTACAGGCACGCATCACCATGCCTGGCTAATTTTTGTATTTTTAGTAGAGACAGGGTTTCACCATGTCGGCCAGCCTGATCTCAAACTCCTGACCTCAGGTGATCCATCCACCTTGACCTCCCAAAGTGCTGGGATTACAGGCGTGAACCACTGCGTCTACCACTGCGTCTGGCCACTTCTTTCAGTTTTAATGCCAGTCTAAACTGTATGTTTTCTTCAATGTTCAATAAAGAACTGGTGAACTTCCTTTAAGAAACTGTCTGACAACCTTCAAAAGCTTTTCTGAATGTAGCATTTATAATTTATATACACAACTTCCCATTTATTTTATTTTATATTTATTTATTTATTTCTAAGACAAAGTCTTGCTCCGATGTCCAGGCTGCAGTGCAGTGGCATGATCTCGGCTAACTGCAACCTCTGCCTCCTGGATTCAAGCGATTCTCCTGCCTCAGCCTCCCAAGAAGCTGGGACTACAGGTGTGTGCCACTATGCCCAGCTAATTTTTGTGTTTTTAGTAGAGATGGGGTTTCACCTTGTTGTCCAGGCTGGTCTCGAACTCCTGAGATCAAGCGATCCGCCTGCCTCAGCCTCCCAAAGTGCTGGGGTTACACGTGTGAGCCTCGTGCCTAGCCCCACAACCTCCCACTTAATTACATATAGCTCATATTTTATTAAAACTTTACTACAGTATTAAATCATAGTACATAAGAGGAAACTAGAAAATGAGGAAAGATTACTAAAGTGAATGTTTTCTTTCCCTTAATATCTGCATGATACTTTATACCTTTCTCTTGGCTCTTACACTGATATCAATACTATAGGAAGAGCATGAGTTTTTCTTCCTTTTTCCTTCTCTATGAATCTGTTACATTCATCTGTCAGTCACTTCCAACAGCTCAGTACCTTGCATTCAGCAGTTTTAAAAATTGTACTGAGATGAAAAGAGCATCAATGAGACTCTTTAGAAGACTTTAACATGCTATACTAATAAATCTGTGGTCTTTGATAAAGTTATCTGTCTCTAAGAATACAGAAAAGATCTGATGAGGATGATCACACCTATCTGACAACAACATCAGAGAAGTAGAATAGGATCAGGATGACTGAGGTAGACTTATAGAGATTAGGGTAAAAGGGAGAAATAAATAGAGGCAGACATCAGTGACATAATCTGTATTTAGTACTTATCCAGGAAGTCTCAGATTTCAAAGTCTCTTCATTTTATTGACAAGCAAACTCAAAGAGAGGTAGATGATATGCTCAGGGTTACGCAATAGATTAATGACAGAGATAGGACTAGAATCTGGATCTAAATCCAGGTTTTCTCTAACACTCCACATACTTTGATTCCTATTCTTTACTCATCATACTTCAGCTTGCTGCCACGTCTTATCACTTCTTCCTTTCCTTTTCATTGCTTTGTCACCATTACTGTCAATACCTAGTCTTCCTAAGATATTAAGGAATTGATCCCTGCCCTAAGAGCAGCAAATTGCTGAACTCCTCTGGTGGACCTCTGCTGGACCTCATGCTGGACCTCTGATGGGACAGGTTCTTCCATCATCTAGTCAGAATTGGGCTGTATTTGGTGGTTATAACACAGAATATTTCTTTCATAAATATAATTTGGCTTCGACTACATTAAAACCCATTGCTTTTGGCTTCTTTAGCCCAATGAGTTGAACAACAAAGCTAATTAATTTGTTCAAATGCTTCAGAAATATAGTCTCCTGCATAAATTTCAAATGTGGTAAATTTCTTTCTAAATTTTTATGTAAACTTCTAGATATGGTTAAGAAAACTGTTCCAATACATGGAAGGATGAGAATTTCAAGCACTTACTGCAAGTTCCGCCACTGAACATTGGAATAGTTTCAAACATCATCTTGTGAAACAACAGTGCCACTGGTCTATAATCCAGATGATTCTTTAACAGGTAGCTATAATAATACACATAGCGCCTCTGACTGGGAATAGTTACTCCCTGGTGGACAGAAAAAAAAGAGAAGCCAAATTGAAAAAAAATGTTCCATTATAGTTATTTCACTAAATTGCTATGGTAACTGGGTCGTAGCCATTTAAGAACATATATACATTAGAAATTTGACCTTAAATGATTAATACTTAAATCCAGCTCAATAATAAATAAGAGCAATATCAATACAAAGGATATCAGAATAACTCTCCTCCCTTAAAACAATTATCATAACAACCCATTTATTCAAAGGTCACAACAGCGCTCTGACCCATGAACCCCATAGGCAAAGGCCACTGCATATCCAGAATAAGTGTCAAAGGCCTCTGCCCTACAGCTATGCTCTATACACCTAGGGCTCCCCACAAGGATTTATGGACTCCTTAAACACACAGCTCCTCACAAACTTGATTACCTACTTTCCAGGGGAAAGAGTATCAGAATCAGCAAACTAGACAGAGGCATATTGCCTTTAAGGCAGAAACAGCAGTAGCAAAAAGTGATGCTGGCATTAGGGCCCAACAAAAACAGGACTATGCAGTTGATGTAAATGTGTGAAACAATCTTCTAACACAGGTAAAGCTATCCTTGTACTACATGCATCTCTTTGTTGAAGAAACCAGGGAAAAATGAAGTGTTTTAGAAAATGTAAGTATTACAAATGATTAAAATGTATCTAGTTCTCAAGAGTTTATTAAACAATAAAACATAAATAAAATTTTGTAATACATGTGGCACTTAATAGGGGAAGCTGAGTTATCTAAAGAGAAAAATCTAATATGTACAACAATGCATTCACTAACGAAGACGAATAAATGAGGTATTTAAGGGTTTTTTTTATTAGACATGTGACTTAAGAAAAATCCAACCTAAAAATGTAAGACAAACAATAAGCAACATTAAGAAGTTTAACGGTAAAAGTAACTTACAGAACACTGTACCTTAAATGAAAGTATACTCAAGAGGAAAAAGAATTTGCAATTATTTCTCTTTTAAGTTACTACTGGCATCTAAATCTCCCCAATGTCTTAAAAATTGTAGACACAACCTTCTTCTCCCTAATGAAAAATATAAAACATATTTATGTGAATTTAAAAACAGGCCAGGTGCAGTGGCTCACAACCTGTAATCCCAGCACTCTGGGAGGCCGAGGTGGGCTGATCACTTGAGGTCAGGAGTTGGAGACCAGCCTGGCCAACATGGTGAAACCCCGTCTCTACCAAAAATACAAAAAATTAGCTGGGCGTGGTGATGTGTACCTGCAGTCCCAGCTACTTGGGAGGCTGAGGCAGGACAATCACTTGAGCCTGGGAGACGGAGGTTGCAATGAGCTGAGATCGTGCCACTGCACTCCAACCTGGACCACAGAGAAGACTGTCTCAAAAAACAAACAAAAAACCAGGTATGCTGAATAGCAAGTATGTAGGTATCCACTGTAGTACTCCTAATATTTTTTCAAAGATGAGCATGATTTTATTATAGACAATTTAAAAATATGTGTATGTGTGTATAAATGTCAAAAAAAATCGGTATAAACCATTTCAAATCATGACAAGTGATTTAAGATTTTTAGCCACAGTATAAAGACCAAAATTTTATAAATAAAAGACTTGTATTTGAATGCTGACAGTCAAAATACAAACTCTGATGTGTTTTCGAAGGAAAATGAGGACAATAATATGTACCCTTCCTTAACAGGGCTCTCATGAGGATCAAACACCAGATGCAGTTACACAAAAGCATGCTAAAACTACAAAATGGTACACGGTTTTAGCAATTCTGTACCTGTATTCAAGGTGCAGTTTTGGAATAGCTGGAATTTTATTTCTATATAATTTTCTTTTTTCTTTTTTTTTTTTTTTTTTTTGAGACGGAGTTTCGCTCTGTCGCCCAGGCTGGAGTGCAGTGGTGCGATCTCGGCTCACTGCAAGCTCTGCCTCCCGGGTTCACGCCATTCTCCTGCCTCAGCCTCCCGTGTAGCTGGGACTACAGGCGCGCACCACCATGCCCGGCTAATTTTTGTATTTTTAGTAGAGACGGGGTTTCACCGTGTTAGCCAGGATGGTCTCGATCTCCTGACCTCGTGATCCGCCCGTCTCGGCCTCCCAAAGTGCTGGGATTACAGGCGTGAGCCACTGCGCCCGGCCTAATTTTCTTAACAAAACAGTAAAAGGTAAGGTAAAGTAGTAGTACTTTGAAGAGCAGTACTACTACTCTTCATACTCTTCATTAAAACATTAAAAATTATTAAAGTTAAAAAATGTAAACTTACAATGATTTTATTACGTCACATTTAATGTAATTTCAGCAAACAACTGTCATTCATGTTTAGCAAGATAAATACAGAATTGCTAAGCAGAAAGGAAATATCACATGGAAGATGAGTGGGAGGTGTACTTTTTTGAACCATGTGAATTTTTTAACCATATGCATTTATTATCTAGTCAAAATATGCAATAAGATTTAAAAAAATTAAGTCAATGCGAGTCTACGAGTAGACCACATTGTCAACATTATTTGTTGGGGTTTAGTGGATGACATTTTTCTCTTTATCTCCATTTTTGGCATAAGTTTGTGTGCAATAATAAAAAGATTTCAAAGCTTTAGGTTTTTTCAAGTAGCAAGTGATTAGTAGTGTACCTATAATGTAGGTGATTATACATTCTGTTAATCCTTACCCAAAAAAGGATAGGCAACATAAAAAATATATAAATCTACTAGTTGTCAACATTGGGTGAATAATCTATGTATGAATACCAGTTGAAACAAAATTACTGACAATTCAAAGAAAAACATGGAAAAGTACATTTTAAAATTTAATCAATTAGTTTACCATCAATATTACAGTCTATTTTCTTAACTTTGCAATTCTTATCTACCTGCTGCCTTGTCAGCACCCAAAATTCAACACTTCTAGATTAACAAATATTAAAAAGTTGGGAGGCTCACATGTATCTGTTTCAGAGTCTCCAATGTGACCTCCTCATTCTAGTCCTATCTCTCTGAGCCATGATGCACACTCACTAAAATTGAATTAACACCTGCAATATAGGATTTCCAATGAGTGGAAAGTCCACACTAAAATTTTAGTCATCTTTAAAAGCTTATACATATGAATAAAAGGCTGTAAAGCTCTTGCAGATTAAAAAATACTCTGTTTTCAAATCTTTTTTTTTTTTTTTTTTTTTTGAGATGGAGTCTCGCTCTGTCACCCAGTCTGGAGTGCAGTGGTGCGATCTCAGCTCACCGCAACCTTGCCTCCCGGGTTCAAGCAATTCTCCTGCCTCAGCCTCCCGAGTAGCTAGCACTGTAGGGATGGCCACTGCGCCTGGCTAACTTTTGTATTTTCAGTAGGGAAGGGTGAGTCAGCATGTTGGCCAGGCTGTCTTGAACTCCTGACCTCAAGTGATCCACTCCCCTTGGTCTCCCAAAGTTAAGGGATTACAGGCCTGAGCCACTGTGCCTGGCCTAAAATTTTTCATTTTTCATGTAAATTAAAGCTAATAAGGGCCAGTTTTTATTCTCTAACCAAGACCTTTTAAGTTAAATTGATCTTTAACTACACACACACACCCCTGCCCAAGGGTACAGTTCTACTTTCTACTAGTAGTAACTCTCCTTTTCCACTTTAATTTTGAGGAAAATTATTTACACAGCTGACCCTTGAACACAGGTTTGAAATGTGTGGGTCCACTTACATATATGGATTTTTTTTCAATAAAATTTTTCAGAGATTTCAACAATTTGAAAAAACCTGCAGATGAAACACATAGACTAGAAATATCAAAAAGTTAAGAAAAAGTTAGGTTTATGTCATGACTACATAAAATATATGTAGATTAGTCTGTTTTATCATTTACTGCCATAAAATATACACAAACCTATTATAAAAAGTTAAAATTCATCAAAACATATGCACACAAACCTTAAGACCAGACATAATACCACTTGTAGTCAAGATAAATGTAAACAAATGCAAAGATGCAGCATTAAATCATAGCTACCTAATATTAACTGTAGTACATACTATACTACTGTTAAAATCTCATAGCTAACTTCTGTTGCTACTGCAGTGAACTCCAGGGTTGCAAGAATCTGTTTAAAACACTGTGTGACACTAATCATCTCTGTATGATCAGCTCATCTCTCCAGTAAATTGTGTATTGCAATCAAAAGCTATCTCTCTCACGGCTCTTGTGTGTTTTTCTTTTCTTTTCTTTTTCTTTTCTTTTTTTTTGCGACAGAGTCTCCCTCTATCATCCAGGCTGGAGTGCAGTGGCACGATCTCGGCTCACTGCAACCTACGCCTTCTGGGAAAAAGCGATTCTCCTGCCTCAGCCTCCCGATTAGCTGGGATTACAGGCACGTGCCACCATGCCTGGCTAATTTTTTTATTTTTAATAGAGACAGGGTTTCACTGTGTTAGCCAGGATGGTCTCAATCTCCTGACCTCATGATCCGCCCGCCTCGGCCTCCCAAAGTGCTGGGATTACAGGCGTGAGCCACCGTGCCCGGCCCTCTTGTGTAGTTTTCATTGTGTCTAGTGCAATGCCGTAAACCTTAACACCATGAGACCCATATGAAGTGCCAACAGTGATGATGGAAGCGCTTTCAAAGAAAGAAGTCATAGACATTATAAGAATAAAGTGACTTGCTTGATATGTACAGTAGATAGGTACAGCTGTAGCTGCTGGCCATTTCAGACAGATGCTTCATCTTGTAAACAGCAACATAAATGTATGGTACCAATAAATACAGTACAGTACTGTAAATGTGTTTTCTCTTCCTTATGATTTTCTTGATACATGTTCTTTTCTCTAGTTTACTTTATTGTTAAGAATATACTATATAATACACATACAAAATATGTGTTATTGCCTGTTTATGTTGTGGGTAGGGCTTCTGGTCAACAGTGGGCTACATTATCGAACGGTCAACTGTATCCTTAACTTTTTTTCCTCAAATACAACTTTCAACAATTCTAGCTTTAGCTAAAAAACTTTAGCTAAACTAAAGAACTTCAGCCATTACTCTTTCAGCTCCTTTATGTTCACAGACCAGGAGGTAGACCTCAGAAGTATATTTAGTGTTCCTCCTAATATTCCTTCCAGCCCCCTTTCCTACAGCTTTGCCTATTTCAAACCCCTATCACTCAATAACTCTTCTGGTATACACTTTTTAAACTCTTGACCACAACGATTTTAGCACTTTGTTCTCCCAACCTCTCTCTTGATCCTGACCAACACATCACCTTCGATGAATTCAGCTCCTGCTTTACTGGGAACCCTGAGGTCATCCAATACAAACACTCAAAATTCCCTTCTCCCATCTTAAAATCTCCTTATACTTGACGTCTCTTCCTGTTCAACAAGTTTCTATTTTGGACAAGTGCTTTATTAATTATCTCCTATCTGGCATGTGCCTTTATTCTCTCCACTTGTCTCTAAATAATATGCTCAAGTAATCTTCATTCTTTATCCAAGGCTGGCAAACAACTGAAAGACCAAAAACCCACACTCTCCCTAGATTCTGTATCTCTCTCAAACTATTAGCCTCCCTCTCTATAAACAGCAAATCTTGAGACGCTCTTACTCCTTAATCCAGAGAAATTGATTATGAGGCTGATTTCTTTTTGAAGGGGAGGGGGGTGCCATGGTCTCACTCTGTCACCCAGGCTGGAGTGCAGTAGTGCAATCTTGGCTCACTGCAACCTTTGCCTCCCAGGTTCAACCCCCTCAGCCTCCCGAGTAGCTAGGAGTACAGGCGCCTAACACCAAGCCCTGCTTGCTTGCTTGTTTATTTATTCATTTATTTATTTATTAAGGAGGAACGAGGGTTTTGCCATGTTGCCTAGGCTGGTCTCAACTCCTGGACTCAAGAAATCTGCCTTGGCCTCCCAAAGTGTTACGATTACAGGGATGAGCCACCATGCCCAGCCGAGGCTGATTTCTTAATGGTCATTAATGCTTTGTCAACAACTAATTTCCTGCTGTTTTCACAATCCCATCCTGGCTGCTGGCTGATCTTTTTTTTATTTTTTTTTTAAACATTTCACTGAAAACTTTTTATTACCCTTTTGGGTAGAAATGAGAATTTATTTGCCAGGAAGGATGATCCCATCATACTTCTGCTGGAACCAGCGCATGGCCTCCTCTTTGCTGATTCTATTTGGCACCAATGAAGCCTGTCCCGCACTTCTTACCTGCAATGATGAAACCTGGCTTTTCCAGCACCACATAGAAGTCCAGGCTGTAGACATCAATGCTTGGGTCATATCTGATACCCAGATCAATGTGTTCCTGGGTCCCAAAACCAAAGTTTCCAGTATCTGAGAAGTTATTTTTTCTTAACTCACACTCCTGCACCTTTAGATCATTCTCCAGGATTTCGTCTGCCTTGGCCCCTCGAACTGTGCAGCAGACAACAGTCTTTTCATTTCTTCTGTTGCCAAAGGCGCTAACAGTATATCTAGCTTTGGAAAACACCTGGTTCTGACCTGTAAGCTGTTCCAAGACCTTAGTTACTCAGGTCAGTCTGTCTCCACTTTCTCCTAAACAGATGTTGAAGCGGAGCCTGCAGATGCAAAATTCCTGCATGGGGTTATCCTTTTCACCTTGATCCTGCACCACGATGGAGAACAGGAAGAGCCTGGCTGATCTTTCTGCAATCATTCTGAAACTTCCCTGCTTCTGTCATAGGACTTACTCTCTCAAGGTTTCTTTCAACCCTTATTGGTTGTCTCTTCTCTTGTCCCTAAATATAGGCCTATCTCAAAAAGAGTTTCCCCTCTGTCAAACCAATCTATTCCAGTGCTTTACCAATTTTACACAATAACTCCAAAACTTATCTCCTTTAACATGACTTTATTCCCAACTGCCAGTGCAGAATTCCAACATCTGGCTGGAATTTCTACCTGGTAATCTCAGAAATACTGAAAACACACATTTCCAAAAACCGAAGCTTTTTAACGTGGAAAACTTCCTTTATTTCCATCAATGATATTCAATTATTTTCTCCAGCACTCGATGGCCTTCTAATAACTAACACCATCGTCACTTATTGAGCCCACACTATATTCTTTGTATTGTTCTAAATGTCTTTAGAAATACATAATTTAATACTCATAAAACCATGTAAGGTAGGTACTATTGGTAAACCATTTTATAGATGAGGTGAAGTAATGGAACTAGATATAATCTTCATAAGTAATGGAACTAGATATAATCCCAGCACTCAAACTCCACAGCTTCTAGTCAACTACTATATGATCCTCCCATCTTCTTTCTGCTTGAGGAATGAAACACAGCTGAGAGACAGCAGTAATATAATAGGGTTACA
Organism: Homo sapiens; assembly: GCF_000001405.40. Lineage (NCBI taxonomy): Eukaryota > Metazoa > Chordata > Mammalia > Primates > Hominidae > Homo > Homo sapiens. Next base: position 160,577 of record NW_013171807.1, on the reverse strand, counting down.
GAAAAGAGAAGTGAGGGAACTCCAGCACTATGGCAAAGGCCCAGGCAGCAGAGTGGAGCTAAGAGACACAGTCAGCCTATTAACTACCTGGCACATACATACATGCATACACACTAATGGTACACAATAAAATGACAGACAAATCATAGATTAAGTTCATTTAGTATACTCATCTTTGATTCCTACGCATCTATTCAGTTGCCAAAATCCAGATCTTGATTCTGAAATACTACTCAAAATGTCAGTTTCAGTTTTCTGTGGCCTATTTCAGTTTCTTCCTGCAATTTTGCCATAGCCAACTGATTTATCACCCTTTATCCATTCTGTAATCTATCCTTTATACCACTCTCAGATTAGTTTTTTAAAAGTTAAGATTAATCCAATTACCAATTAATTCAAAATGTTAAATGGTAATCTACCCAAATAAGAGCAATATTTATCACACACTGTAATTCAATCACAGCATAAAAATACAGCTCCAACCTCTGTTTCCACTCTTACCTCTCACAATTCCCTTGAATGTACTCTTACTTTGGCCAAATAGAAGTATTTAATTTTCCCTAAATTGTACCTTCTGGTTTTCTCTCTTTTTAAATATATGCTACCTTTATCAGATTAAGGTATAAGGGCTACATAAGCAGCCACCTGTGAAGTCTCACATATTTTTCTAACACCTGGTCCAATTTAGATAACATAATTACTTGATACTTCAAGGTGTGATAACCAGCCACCTGAAATGCAATTTAAACCAGGTATTTCTTGAGGGCTCCTAGACATTTTCATTATTGCAGGGTCTATTCAGATTTTGTCTCTCCTCAAAGCATTTACAATGATATATTCACTGAAAATTGCCCACTTCTCACTGAAATTTCCAAAATGATTAGCACAGACCTGAATATAATTTTTAACATCACCTCCACACTTTAGTTTTATCTCCTTTCTCATACTTAATGTCTCACTTTTAGTTTCCCTCTTTTCTTTTATCCTTGACTGGCTTTTAAAAATATGTATTGATTTTATTGGCATTTTCATGCAATCAGTATTTAGATTAGTTCAAATGGTTTACTGTTTCCTAATTCATTAACATTTTTGCCTTTATAAATCTCTAGTTATTAATCTTTAGTTCTAAATTTACATTTCCTCATTGAATCAAAAATTATTTAAAACATGATTTTATATTTCCATATAAATTTAAACATTTTTAAAAATCTCCAGTTCTAATGAATTGTAATCAAGGAATGGGACTTACATATTTTTATTTTTGAGTGAGATTTTGTTTTGCAGTTGATCTAATTAGTAAGACTGGTAATTGTTTTGTCAATGACAGAAAAAAAGAAATATATTTCATTATTTTATTATTAAAGCCACCTATATATATATATATACAGTTATGTGTTGCTTAAGAGAAACTGTATCTGGATGATTTCATCACTGTGTCATAAAATATACTTACACAAGCCTAGATGGTATAGTTCACTACACACCCAGGCTATATGATACAGCTCCTATGCTACAAACTTGTACAGTAAGTTACTGTATTCAATATCATAGGCAACTGTAACACAATGTTATTTGTGTATCTAAAAGACAGAAAAGGTTCAGTAAAAATGGTATAAAGGATATAAAAATTGTACACCTGTATAGGGCACTTACCACGAATGGAGCTTACAGGATTGGAAGCTGCTCTGGGTGAGTCAGTGGGTGAGTGGTGAGTTAATGTGAAGGCCTAGGATATTACTGTAAACTACTGTAGATTTTATAAACATGCTACTCTAAATCTGTTTAAAAATTTTTTCTTTCTTCAGTAAATTAACCTTAGCATTTTATAACTTTTTCACTTTATAAATATAAAAAAATTTAACTCTGACTCTTTTGTAACATTTAACTTAAAACAAAAACATATTACACAGCTACACAAAAACATTTTTTCTTTGTATCCTTATTAAGATTTTTTCTATTTTTAAATTTATTTTTTTTTTTTACTTTTTAAACTCTTGTTAAAAACTAATAAATACATACTTTAGCCTTGGCCTCTACAAGGTCAGGATCATCAATATCACTGTCTTCCACCTATACATCTTGTCCCACTGGAAGGTCTTAAGGGGCAATAACATCCATGGAGCTGCCATCTCCTATGACAATAATGCCTTTATCTGGAATACCTCCTGTAGGATCTGCCTAAAGATTATTTTATAGTTAACATTTTTTAATAAGCAGAAGCACATGCTAAAATAATAGTACTGTAAACACGTAAACTAGTAACATATTCGTTTATCATTATAAAGTATTATGTGCTGAACATAACTGTGCTATGCTTTTATACAACTGACAGTACAGTAAGTTTGCTTACACCAGCATTACCACAAACATGTGAGTGATACATTGCATTGCAACGGCTTCAACATCACTAGGTGATAGAAGCTTTTTAGCTCCATTATAATTTTATAGGACCATTGTCGTATACCAGGTCAGGTGTTGACTCAAACATCATTATGTGGTACATGACTGTACCTTCTTACTTCGTGCCTTTTGAAGTACATTAAGGATTCCTATCATTGCTTTTCTACCAATTATTCTTCATTTCTTTCAGCTTTTACTTAATACATTTTGATGTTTAGCACATTCGTTCATAACTGTTAAGTCTTTACCTGGAGTGTACCCTGTGTTGATGTAAAATGACATTTTTGATCCAGTTTAATGCTTTTTGCTTTAAATGCTACCCTGATACTGAGATTCTGTCATCTGCTTTTGAAATTGAAATTTGCCTGATGTATCTCTAATCCACCATTTATTTTTAACCTTAGTTGTTTTATGTAAATCTCTTGTGATTAATCTCTTAAAAAACAGACTTCAAAGTACAGATTATGTACATCTTTCAGACCTAAAATACTGCCATACTACTACCAGAACAGAATACTACTTTAATATCACAGCACAAGATATGTAATGTTTTGTTCATATTCTATGCATCAATATTTATCAATATTCCGATCATCTCCTAAGAAGATGAATCACGAATTCACAATCTACACTCCTCAGTTAAAAAAGTAATTTTCTATTTCAATAAACTTTCCACTGGCACTGCTAAACTTAGAAATAATGTAGATTTTTCAACATAATAGTGTTTGCTTGAAGCTCGGAAATCTATGTTTCAGGATGATCACAATAAGATTACTACAGGAAAGCAATTCAACAAAGGAAGAAATATGATTATTATTACAATGACAACATATAGCAGTAGTTATTGTATATTAAGGTACTTGCCAACATTTTATATATCTTTAACACTACCATAACTTTACAAGATAGATATTATTGTCTCTATTTTTAGGATCAGAAAACAGTCCGACTGCACGTAATTATCTCATTCAAAACCAGGATCTGGACCTCAATGTGAATATAAGGGTAAAACTTGTACTCAGCTGTCCTGGGTTTTACTAATAGCATGTATATAAACTACGTGATTTGAATGAAGTCACAACTTCATTGAGTTCTTATTTTTCCTGTCTACGAAGAATCTCTAAAGTTTAGGGTGTTACACAGTATTTCACTTCTATGAAACTAATTATTGAGAACAAATGTGAAGCAGACAACTGATATTTTTTTCTCTTTCCAACATTCTTTCCCCTCCTTGATTTTTCTTTGGAAAACTATTATTATCCCTGTGTGGCAGGCTCTACACTTCAGCTTTAGATACATGCCCCAGAGAATTCCATTCCCTGGACAGAATATTTGGTTCAGGAATAATAGGCATGTGCCTCAATCCAGGGAAATCAGAACTCACCCTACAAATTTTTGCTCAAATTGTAGCTCTCTTCTCATCATAGTTGCTAAAGTAGGTAGAATGCAAACCTGAAGCTATTAGGAACTATATCTTGCCACTACTTGTGAGAGCCTGTTTGAAAATAACATATATACAGAAGAGAGAAAAGAGGAGGAGGGTAAGGGAGGGAGAGAGAATAAGAGAGATACTCTTGAGATCTGTTGAGCACCTAGATCCAGGCCAGAGCTTTTAGGTTATGTAAGTCAAAAAATGTCTCCTTTTATTTAAGCTACTTTGAGTTGGGTTTTTCTTATTTAAAACTGAAAAAGTCCTCATATGTCATAAAGGAGTTGCTTTTTATTTTTCTAAGTTTCTATTTCTACTTTAGGATTCAAAATAATAAAGAAAAATAATTTGGACTGCAGAACATAGTTTCGTAGAAAAAAATACCAGGTTTAAGGTTAGAAGATGGGGTTTTTATTATTACACAAAGAGATTATATGACTTAGGACAGGTTGATCTTTGCAGATCTGTTCGTTTTGTGAAACAAGGTCTCGATCTGTTGCCTATCTGAAGTGTAGAGCCTGCCACACAGGGAGGCTCTAGGCTAGAGTGCTGTGGTGTGATCATGGCTCACTGCAGCCTCAACCTCCCAGGCTCTGGCAATCCTCCCACCTCAGCCTCCCAAGCAGCTGGAACTACAGGCACGTGACACCATGCCCGGCTATTTTTTAAATATTTTTTTGTAGAGACAGCCTCTCACTATGTTGCCCAAGCTGGTCTTGAACTCCTGGGCTCAAGCAATCTTCCCGCTTGAGTCTCCCAAAGTGCTGGGAATATAGGTATGAGCCACCGTGCCCAACCCTGCAAATCTGTTTTATCATCTATGTTAGAATGGGTTTGAATTAAATAATTGCTAAGATCCTTCAAGGTATGAAAGTTCTACAATTTTACTGTATTATATAACAGCCTTAAATAATGTGTATCATAGTAACATGGTTTGGCCCAGGAAAATTCAAATGTTAAGAAAAATAAGAACGCCACATTGGAAGATTTTTAAAAAGACAGTAATTATAGTTTGTTTTAAATAAAGAGGAAGTAAGAAAATTTCATTAGGTTATAACATGTAGAAATTTAGTAAACAGGCTAGAAAAAATAACCTGATTTAAGATTAGGTCATGAAAATTCATTCCCCAGAGAAACCAAACATTTTCCTTGAGATCATTTAAAGATACAACTATTATTTCTAGAAGATTTGTCTTTATTAAGAATAAGCTCAATGAACTCATGTACACAAGAGTTCCTAACATAGAGAAACTTTAATAATTTATTTAAAAACAAAAAGAAAATTAAAAGCAGCTCAAACTTTTTCCCTAAAAGTTTAACCAAAGAAAAAATAAGAGGCCAGGCACAGTGACTCATGCCTGTAATCTCAGCACTTTGGGAGGCCGAGGTGGGCGGATCACTTGAGGTCAAGAGTTCAAGACCAGTCTGGCCAACATGGCGAAACCCCATCTCTACTAAAAATACAAAAATTAGCCAGGCGTGGGGGCAGGCGCCTGTAATCCCAGCTGCTCGGGAGGCTGAGGCAGGAGAATCGCTTGAACTCAGGAGGTAGAGGTTGCAGTGAGCTGAGATGTTGCCACTGCACTCCAGCCTGGGTGATTGAGTGAGACTGTCTCAAACAAAAAAACAAAACAAACAAGCAAAAAAAAAAAAAAAAAAAAACAAAAAAAGGGAAATAAATATGAATGTTTACTTTATGTGCCATCATTCTGGAACACAGCTGGGGGTATGCATGGGACAGGGAGAAGGCAAGGGAGAGGGAAACAGCAGTAGTGTTTCTAAGTAACTTTGTCATGTAAAAGGAGTTTACCTCTTTAAACTCAAATTTTGGAAGTCCTTTCAAAAATACATACTTACTAGCATTCTCAGGATGTTTTAACTCTTTCTTCATAGTTTAAACATGTGAGTTATCTAATATTGAAACTTAAGTGCAGATGCAGATAGTGTGGAGCACAGGACTAGATGAGAACCAACCCTAGAAGTTGCCCTGTGGCATGCTTTCTTGGAAGAAAAAAATCACCAACAGCTTACTTTTGAATAATCTTCACATGTTCATAAAGCAAAAGTGTCAAATATACAAATGAATGACTCCTAAGGAAGTGTAACACAATTATCTTCTTGTAAATTAGTGAATAAGACAGAAGGAGGCTTCCTTCCCTTAAGCGGTTACCTCACTCTCAGAACATTTTTCTTTATAATAACTATCAGTTGTCTGACTTCTCTGCAACACTGAAAACCCAAAGTATTATTTGGGCATTACTAACCTAATGCGTTATTTTATGGTCAACTTGTACCCACCACTCTGCCATCTAATTTGCACCATGTCTGCTGAGGATATGTCAAGACTCTGAGCCAGATTATTTTGAAGAGACCTCTGCAAAGTCTACAAATTCTTTACCAAAATATGACTGCCTCATCTCCCTTCAAAAAAGAAAGGGGGAAAAAAGATTCTTCTTCTATATAAATGTCACTAGAACATAATTTTCTCCAGCTTCTTAATGTTTGTCTATAATTAAAATTAAGTATATAAGCAAAATAACATTAAAGATAATTCTAATAAAGTTAACCCCATACAAACTGAAAAGTAGATAAAATGCATGTATCTCCTATAATGGTGATTCACAATTACAAAAATGCAAATCCACAGGCTCAATCTACAAGGAAATACTGACAAGAAGAGAATAAACCTATTATGAGATATTCCAAGAATAAAACTACTTTAGATAATCAACTACATTTATTATAAGATAGTTACTCCTCAGGAAGAATTCCACAGTTGTATAACAACAGCTTTACCATGCTTAGCTAAGTTTTCTTATGATGAAATTAGTTATTCATAAAAGATTAAAAATTATTTCACCAGTATTCTAACCAACAGGCAAACAAGTGGTATCTTTGAAAGTTTTAAAACAATTACATTTCAAGTATTTTACAGAAGCCTGCAGTATTATATTTCCAAGACCAACAACCTCAATCTGTCCAAATTCCCTTTAAGTCAGGAGTCATTAAATGCTTTAGCATTTGTAAGGAAGCATTTGTAAGGAAAGGTATAAGCTGAGGAGCCTTTCAAAATAAGACCAATTTTATCAGCATTTCATAACCTTGCAGGAAAGCCTGAGCCTATACAGAGATTAATTATTTTGAACAGTCTCAAAATTCTTTTGCAGTTCCAGGATTTGTGGACTTGATAGTATAGAAAGAAATTTAACAGTGTATCAGAGGACTCAAATTTTCCTCTGAATGCTAATATTAACTGGATAATATTGATCACAACACTTCCCCTTCCTGTGCCTGTTTGATCATCTATAAGAAACATTCCTGGAAGAAAAAAAAAAAAAAACCTACCACTGACTTTAATCCGTATCTAGTTTTCTAATGCTGTTTCAACCTAAACACAAATGCTACTGTTCAGTAAAATATGGTCAACCAACAGCATCTGCTCCATTTTTTTTGCCTTTTTAAATAAACACAGGGATAAAGAAGGTAAGAACACGAGGATACTCCTTTAGATTCTGTGAATAATTCATCCGAAATATGGTCTAAGTATATTAATTAAGCATGAGCCAAGTATAGTAGATTTCAGTTATTTATTTTGACTCCAAGACACAAAAAGCAATCAATTTCAGTGAAATTACTTAACTCTGAGTCTTAATATTATGTAACAGCTAAATATAACAATTTTAATATCTACATTCTTAACACTGTATGTACAGATCTCCATTTTCTATTAACTATTAGCCCATCAATCTCTTTTCACTTGGGGGATATTCCAACCTATGCAAGGATGGAGAATATACAGCTACTAGAGCAGTTCTACTGATGAAGTAAATACTATTACATTTTACCACATGATATTATAAACTTTGCATTTTATTTTCATAACACTATTCTTGCTATCTTTCATTCTGGCCCTATTTCACAACACCCTACAGGACTTACGATTTCATCAAATAGTCTCCCCTCACCTCTGAAGAGAAACAGAATTGATAGTATTACCAGACTGTAATGACTAGAATATCTTCCCATTGGCAAATTTAAAATATGTCCTTACTTTTTGATTATGGAGCCTTCTCTTGGATTTAATTTGGACTGGAAACAGAAAATAAAATACAATAAAGTTTAAATGCCCTTGGGTTTTACTTTTATCCCTGAACATGATGACATGGACTATCCCAAGTCCTTCTTAAATGGCAAGTTCTCATCATCAGCAGAGCACAGCCAACTATTCTGAAGAAGCAGATACATCAGACAGGGTATGTATGCATATGTGTGTGGGTGAGAGTGTATAAGAAGGAGGAAAGAGGGAGAAAAAGAGACCACATGTGAGAGCACAGTTAAGTTGGAAAAGCCTAGACCATTACAAAAACTATTTGTTCCAATTAAAAATCATTGATTAAATCATCCTACTAGGATATTGATTGTAATGCTAAACAAACAAAAAGTCACACAGTTGAACAGTGAAGGCAAGTATCTTAGAAAGAGTCAAATATACTTGTAGCATGAAGAAGAATAAGACTGTTGCAATACCTCTATCAAATACTTTTCTCCATTCCAAAAAAAACCCTGACATTAAAAAAACAATAATAAAGTAGGTCACAAAAAGATTGGAAGTACCACCTTTCTTCAGATATGATTTCTCAGTATAGCCGGCTACAAGTTTTCATCAAATGCAAGCATGGTGACACAATCAAGGAAACATTCCCATTTTGGAATCTTTTTGGAAGCTTCAGAAAACATTAACACTTTCAAAATGGTAAAGTTTCTTTACCAAAAAACTTCTCCTGAAGAAACCTCAGTATTCTGTAGGCAGACAGTACACCTTACTGCCAGACAACACATCTGATATTGGGGCACTGGTAAAGACAGAAGCTCTCCATGTCATGGTCACCCACTGCTCTCTTCATCAGTATGCGCTAGGGTGCAAGACTGTCATCAATCCTGAAAGAAATCTTATCTCTTGTTGTGAAAGTATTCTACTGTTTCAAGTGCCAACCCTTGAATAATTCCCTGTGTAAGATGATTTGTCATGAAAAATCCACTATTGTGAAAGCTGCCAGATTCATGAAAGCCAAGACTTTCAATCAAGAGCTTCTCGAGAGGTTTTGTCAAGAAATGGGAGCACTATGAAGTTCTTTGCTATATATAAGTTCCCTGCTTTCAGAAGACAAATTCTACAGCCTGATACTGCTGTTTACAGGATAACATACACTCTTTTTAAACAGTTTAACTCTTCAACCTTGAAAGTAAAATGTGGAGTCATAATCTTTTCTTTCCTAACACAGCATTAATGATACAGATCTTGCCAAAAATGATCTCAGTAACTTGAAGGCAAAGAAAATGATGAAACATGAATTTATCTGAAGAGCCTTGGAGAATTCTTATTTCTTGACACGTCTACTTTCATCAGGCAATAGAATCTACAGATTCCATTTACTCTTCTTTCTTTTGTAAAATAGCATTTTCAGCACTTTTTACCAAAGTCAACACTGATTGGATATCAAAGATCATATAAAAGTTGCAAAGTCAAAGTCAAAGAGCATAGTTTCAACTTGTTATTTTAAAAGTTAAATAGCAGTCTTTTCATTAAAATTTAGTATTGAACAGAACTAAAGCTTAATTTTGGTTAATTTGTACCACTTAGATTTATTCATTGCTCTCATGTAGTAGCCACTGGTTTTTGCATAAAAAAGTGACATAGTTTTCATGAAGGTTCTTTTACATTCTGTCTAAAAGAATATATTTCAATGTAATAAAAACTGCAAAATTTTATGTACACTATGCACATTTTTTGAGGGGAGAACATTTATACCTTCCATCAGACTTTAAAAGGAATGTAACACAATTTAAGACCCCCTGGCTTAAATCTAGTGTTCTGCGCCTCCACATTACAAAATTTTTCTATTTTATTACAAAAAATTTTTTACCTTTTTTTCCACTACCAAAATATATGCTGCTCATCAACTCTGTTTTAAATTTCTACCATCGCTTTTGCTACTGCATTTTTTTTTTTTTTTGAGATGGAGTCTCCCTCTATCACCAGGCTGGAGTGCAGTGGCACAGTCTCGGCTCACTGCAACCTCCACCTCCCGGGTTCAAGCGATTCTCCTGCCTCAGCATCCTGAGTAGCTGGGATTACAGGCACGCGCCACCACACCCAGCTAATTTTTGTATTTTTAGTAGAGATGAGGTTTCACCATGTTGGTTGGCCAGGATGGTCTCGATCTCTTGACCTTGTGATCCGCCCGCCTCGGCCTCCCAAAGTACTGGGATTACAGGCGTGAGCCGCTGTGCCCAGCCTGCATTTTTAATCAGTAAAAGCAATTGTTTCCCTGCAGATGATAATGGGATAAATCAAAGTAAAAATCTTTAGATCCTCAGCTCTATAATTCATGCCAGTGCTATCATTCCAAGGTGCAAACAATATGCAGAAATGTAAGGCAATCTACCATAATCTTCAACATTCACCAAAATTATGCACTAATGTAAGATTCAATTTTGTAAACTATCAACAATAAACAGTATTTCGGCATCCTTATATATAATGCAAAAAAAGTCACAAAGGATAGGAAACAAGATATAAGAGGGGGTAAAGGAACAAGGAATCTATGCAATTACACAGCTTTAAATGATTAATACGATCATTCTATTTCTGTTTTACAGCTGAATTAAGAAGAAATTAGATTAACATGAAGGAGAACTCTCTAAATGAGTTTTTCTATCTATCTGGAGGGGCTTAGGCTTTGTCCTTCTTAGAGATGGAAAAATGTACAAAATCTCTTTGCATTAAATTTTAACATGTTTTGCCATACTTACCACCCAAAGAAATATATCAACAGCAAAATTAAATCACTGTAAAAGTTCTCCCAAGAGTTTTCTTTTTTCTTTCAGATGTACTATAAGAATTAAATTTGTCACTGATTTTTCAATATAGTCCTTAGTTTTCTGATCAAAGAATCGAGAATCTTCTATTAATCTAACTACATTTATGAATATTCTTATAAAAGAATAATTTTTATGGATTATAAAAGTTCACACTTTACTAGGTAATGGTATTTTATCCAAAGGCATTCTATGCTCAAACAAGCTTCAGAAATATAAAGCTTATTTTTGATTAATATGCTTTTTAAAAATGTTATTTTAGAAGAATTTTGTGAGACCAAATCTGCAATACAGTTAATGGGTAACATGTGCTAGTATGATATGAAAATGGTAGCGTGAACAGAAAAATGAAATCAATCAGTCATTTCTCATATAGAAATTGAGGCAGCAACTGATTTAAAAATTTAGAAGAAATAAGGATTAGCAACTATCTTTAAAACCTGTTTTCCAGGGACTGAGGGTGGGGAGGGAGGAACACAAGATGAACAAGATCTGAAGCTCTACTGGACAGCATAGTGACTATAGTTAATAATAACATTGTATAATTGAAAATTGTAGCTTGTAGATCTTAAATGCTTTCACCCTGGGGGGAGAATAATAATTATGTGAGGTGATGAATATGTTAAGTAGTTTGACTGTAGTAATCATTTCACAATGTATATACACATACATCAAAACATCATATTATACATTGTATTTATATATAATTTTTACTTGTCAATTACACCTCAATAAAACTGAAGGAAAAAAAGAAACCCAAAATCTGTTTTCCAATAAATTCTCAGATCCAGGAAGAGGAAAGGAAAAACATCAAAAAATAACTTACCTTTTTGTCTCTGGTCCTTACTTCCCCATAGAAATCTAGGGCCTCTTGTGCCTTTAAAAATTTGCCCCGATGTAATAAATATGCACATATCATTACACCAGTTCGTCCCTTTCCAGCTTTACAGTGAATTGCTGCAACATGATTGTCATCTTCACTTAGCCATTGGTCAAGATCTTCACAAAAGGGTTTGATAAGTTCTAGCTGTGGTGGGTTATGGTCTTCAAAAGGATATTGTGCAACTGTGGTAAAAAGATAACCTCAGAATAAGAAAAAAAAACTCTTGAATTTTTAATTAACAAGTAGGTAACTTTAGAAATGTTGCATACAAACTTAACAGGTATTTAAAAGAAACACTGGATTCCAGAGAAAAATAATGTATTGCTTAACTTTCTAATTGTTAAATAGAAAATAGTCTCTTGATAAGTCTTAAATATAATCATTAAGGAAGCCAGGTATTATTTTCCCCCATTTTATTCAGGAGGATATATTCTGGGAATTTACGCTATACGGACTGGTAGCATAGGTCACATATTAGAGGTAGAGCTAAACCCAAAATGAACTGTCACATGGACATTTCGTCAGGACTCTCAATGCAAAAGGAATAATACTATTTATAGTATTTATTTCATCATCACAAAACATATTCCAAAGACAGAATAGATTACTAATAGGATAAACTATGCAAAGAACTACATATTACATTTCATAAAATAAAAATGCTAAGTGTGTTATTTAAAGGTGGTCTTGCAAATGTTAGTGTTGTATACACATGTAATCATTAGGGAAGCCAAGTATTATTTTCCTCCATTTTCTGCAGGAGAATACATTCTGGGAATCTATGCTCAATGGACTGCAGCATAGGTCACATACCAGAGATATGTGAAGGCATACACCAAAGAAATTACTCACAAAATGTATATAATTGTTATCAAAGTTTCAGGTCTTCTCACATGAATTGTAAGAGTCCAAGACTTCTCTGTTCACTATAGTCAGAGTTGAGGTTTTTAAAAAAACTTGTTTAGAAACAGGACTATAGATATATCACTATTAATTGCTCTTAATAGTTTCTACCTTAGTTCCACTCTATTAAGATCCTTAAAAACCCTGGCTGATATTCAATGTACTAACCTGTGTCATCTAAATATGTGAGAAGTATGTCTTATATCTCCAATCAGGTGACTCATAATATGGTACAGGATATAATCAATTATCCTTTGGTGTGACAGGAGAGATCTTCTGGTAGACAATGACTATCATTATAAGGAGTCAGCAGGACAGCTTTCACTTAGTCATCTGCCTAACTTCATTTTCCCAGTGGTACACAAAAACCTCCAGGAAAATCTGTTAAATATCTGTTTAAAGCAAGATAAACCTCAACTAAAGCCTGCTTTGCTTAGTAAGCAACAGCCTAAATCCACCAAAAACAAAAACAAAAAAAACCCGTTCTTAGTAAACCTATACTAAATCTCAATCATTAGTGATTTAGAATTTTCAAACCATTTGTCTGAAAGTCCATTCTAGATTTTCAGGAGGGATCAATGGCAAATACATCAATAGTAGCTCATGGCACCCACTTTCTTTTTGACTATCACAGCAGCATCTGCCAAGCTTCTCAACTCTTCAGTTTTCTCATGGTTTAAAGTGTTAAGCCATGAGAACTGAGTTGTATTTCACAAATAAAAGTGAAAGTTTTTGTGGGCTCTGAGAATTAACTTATGTCTGAAGTAGAAACTCATTTAAAGCAGTTCCCTCCTCTCATCCATCAGACTCCTCTTATCAACATTTGTTATATCCTTTCCTACCTTTTATGTCATTCCTCAACACAGAAGAGTTAAGTAGTTCTGCTTTCTCCCTGTGATTGCTTACTATTAGACCAACTGCCTCAAATAGTAGGTAAACCCTCTCCTTATACTATTTTTAGTCTAGGAATTTTCCTAATTCTTAGTCTATGCTGCACTTTAGTCTTCCTGACAATATTAATAGCTTTATGCAATACTTTTTCCTAAAACACAACAGTAAAATTAAAATTTTTGAAATTTTTAAAGATAATTCTTAAATATGTATCTCACTCGATAATCTGGATGACTCATTATTGTTATGACAGTAAGATACAGTCTATCGGGTTTAAGTTATACAACATAGTACAGTACATTCATACCTACCTCTGCAATTAAATTTGGCGGTGTCATAATGTCTTTCAGCACAACTAAAAGAAAAGTTTAAAAGTGATATAAAGTTATCTTTTGCACTTAGGAAGAAAAAAAAGTACTAATACTAACAAACATTGCCTGAATCTTTATAATGTGACACATATTATGCTGTGTTTAACATTAATTATTTCATGTAATAACAAGAATTCTATTAAGTAGATACTGTTATCACCCCCATATTATAATAATAAAACCAAAGCTTAAAAGATTAAGTGTATGCAATTAGAGCTAATACATTTGCTTAAAAACTTGTGATGCCACTAATACAGAGTACTGTAAATTCAGGTGCTTCCATGCTTTCAAATTTCCTCTATGAAAAATCTGCATGCTATTGGAATATATTTTTAATTTTACAAGTACCTATAAACAACTGACTAGTTTCAATAGTATCTGTATCTCATAGTTAAGCATACATAATTCTCAAACTATTCTTCAAAAAGATATATGTTAAAAATAGTAAAAGCATAAGGACAGTAAAGAAAAACTGAATGTTGTTAATCTACTTGGCCAAATGCTTACTAATTTTTTTTTAAACCAGACCTTACTCCCTGTTGAAAAGCCAACGATCACCTTTTTCAACAGTCTCTCAGATTGCAAGTTTTAATTACAGTATGAGAGTAATGAAAGAATAAGTAAAATCAATACAGAATAGTAAAATGCTGACTTGTCATTACTAGAGTATGCTAATATTTGTCTTAATAGCAGTGATATGTTAGTATGTACTGGCTTTCTAATGATTAACAGGCCATGTTTACAAACAATAAAAGGCTCAGAAAGAGATCTTACATATCAGTGTGGTTAGCAGTACCCTGGTAACTCCAACTACTATGCAAAACAAATTTTTTAAAAATTACTTAAAATAAACTCTTAGCATTTTAAAACAAATAAAGGTCCATAGCTCCTTAACCTGCAATTTCAATATCCCAAAAGTTCAAAACATCTAAAATTTTCTCTTAAGTTTTATGGCAAACTCAACTACAGCAAATCCTGATCTGAAGTAATAAGATTGTACATAATATTTAATACACTTAGAGCGAAGAGTAAAACATTTCATTTCAGGTACTGACCCACACCCCACTGGGGTGTTTATGTAAAAGTATATTTATCTGTGCTACCTTTTGAAAACTAAAATTTCTGAAAATGGAAACATACTTGGCCCCAAGAGTTTCAAATAAGTGATTGTGAACCTGTATTGTACATTTAGAAACCCTGAAAAACATCTATATAGTTTCTTCTCTACCTTAAAGGTAATTCAAAACCAAATTCACATGAAGGTTTAACTAATTATAAATAAACTACAATCCATTGGTTTCTAACTGGTCAGACCTAAAATAAAACAACTTTCATACTACCACTCAAAACAAAACAAGCTTTTCCTTTTTAGTACAATTTAGTATATTGAGTTTTTCTAGAAAGAAAATGCATTTAGTAATGACATATGCACATATATGCATCCTTGCTAGTAATTTCATACCCACTGACATGAAAAACAGGAAAAAGAGGACTGACAAGACAGTCACATTTTACACTTTCTTTGGTACTTTTAAGATAAAAGGGGAGAAATTGTCAATAGTGAAGAATTCATAATGGAATATTTTATAAGGAATCAGAGATGTAGGACTAGGAAACACAATCTAAGAAGCTGGTCTCAGGACAACACAACAGAAAATAAACATTAGTTTTGTGCAGCTTCAGTTCTCTAAACTTCCCCTACTTTCTCAGGATCCCAGAACATGTGGTTTGACGAACACTCCTTAAGACTGCTTTAATAAAAATGCCTCTCAAATATTACTGTTAAGAGGACTATATGGACGGAAAGTGGAAGTAATGACTACTAAGTGTCAACCAGATGAACACACCTTACAAAGAGTTTCCACTTTTTTTTGTTTCATCCTCACAATCACGTGATAACTGTTATTATCTCCATTTTATATATGAGAAAGCTAAGACTTAAGAGCATTAAAAAACTTGCCCCAAATAACAGTATACAAATGAAAGAGCCAGAACTCAAGCTCAGTATCTCTGATTACAAAAGTCAAACTTTTTCTACTACTGTTCCATAATTCTACTTATAATAAAAAAAAAGTTTTAAATACAAAAGCAGTAACAAATTTCAGTCAAAGCCAGCATTCCTACAAGAGCAGTATCTGTCATAAATCACAGAACCAACAGTGACAGTAAAAAGCAAGGAAAAAGTTATGAAAATCTTCACAGGTAAGCATAGGAAATATGGGAGCAAATATGCTGGGACTAGTAATGATAAATATGCTCAGGGAATGGGGGTTGGTAGGATAAGGATGAAGACTTTCTTCTTAAATTAAAATCTCTGATAAATGCCCTCCTTCCACCTATACCTACTGACAGTTTCTTTTAAATTCTTTGTGGTTTGGTAGTGATAAGTCTCTCAACAAACTAAAATTAAAGATACACAAATGGCAAATGGGGTTTAGCCATTTAAATTTAACCATTTATGCTTCCTTATAACTAAAACTCAAAAGATACCAGTACCTCATATTGGTTTATATGAGACAAGAGAAATGAATAAGCATTTAAAGAATGAGTTTTTATGAAACAAGAGGCAGAAACTGAAGGAATAAGATTAACAGGAAAAGCTTCCAGAGAAGTGAGATTTGCCATAGAATCAGCTAGGTAGGCAGGTCTCTTCTTTACTCTCTTTGATGAAGCTATCACCATCTTACAAAAGAAAACTTAATAGATGAAAATTAGTAAAGCTAAAGGTTTACCACAAAATGATAAAGTATGTCAAATAAAATATGCACTGAAATATAGTAAATACCTTTAAAAAATTGGTATACAGTGAAAACTTAAATTCCTCAAAGGCAAGAAGTATACATCTCTTTATTCACTATCTCCCCTTCCCCATTCCTACCAGATTATACAACAAGGAACAAAAATAAAATATACTTGTACAAAACAAACTGATTAATTCAATTAAGTAACAGTACACCTGAATTTGCTTAATGTTATGAATGCCTGAAGAAAACACAGATATAAACAGATACAGTTAATCAGAAAGGCCATATTAGGAACTCTTCTTCACCCATGTATATCATAATTGCTATAAAAGATTTAACATACTATTAAATGTGGGTATGCCTAGTGCAAATATTTTAAGATCTTCAAATTATGTATGTTTGCAAAGACATATATATCACATGTAATACTATCCTAAAAATAAAAGAAATAAAATAGAACACCTGCTGCTTACCAGACTCACTTAACCAGAACCAGAAATACAAACAGAGGTAGAAAAAAGGTAAAGAAGATCGGAAAGTGACATTAGAACTCAAAACATGCTATAACTTAGTTCTAGAAACTTCTGAAGTCAGTAAAATTTGGAGAGGTTAAAACGAACAAGCAAAAAAGCAAAACGTAAAGGGAATATTGGCATAAACAGTGGATGGTCGGCTACCATATGTACCTGTGTGACCTTGTTCAACTCACTTAACTTCTCTAGGCCTCAGATTCCCCATCTGTAAAATGAGAAGGTTGGACTAAATGATCTCTTTCAGGTACTCTCCAGTTCTGAAAGCTTATGATTCCATGTGGGGAAGGGGCATTAAAATATATGCATTAAGAGCTACCCTCAACTAATAAACAGACTTCATTAACTTGGGAATCCAATGGTTGGAAATATAAAAACAAACAGGCAGTTAGGTTCCTAGGCTCTCTCCAATGCCAACTTTAACCATAATAATGTTAAGTGACCTACAATACTGATAGTACAGCTGAAGTCCTAAGTTCTTAAAGCAGGAAGTCACTACACACAGGAATGAAAAGAATTTCCTTCCCTTTCTTTGAATATGTTAAACTAGAATAAAATTTTGAAAAAGGCCGAATTTGTCTTTGGTGTCCTTCGATTTCCATTCTGAGACTTTCTAAATCCCCAGTTCTGATAGTCTAACCCTGAAGTGACTCAGTTTAATGGCTTCTAGCTTTTGAAAGTTCTTGTCCTTTTTTATTACTTATATTCTGAATCCAGTTGTGCAAAAAATACAAAGCTTTGTAGTTTTTATTTTCCTCCAAAGAAACACTATGGTATCCGCAACAAGGCTCTTTGTAGGAGAGGTTTATCAGGAAAAGAGAAAGACCCCTAAATGCATAGATCATTTGTAAGCTGGACCCATTAAGTTTCCATAACACCTTTTACTTTCTTTTATCTTGTTGCCTATTGCCACCACAATTCTCTCCCACCCCCAACATACAGACACCACAATCTGATGATAATGAATTCGCTGCCATATTCTAAACACTTTTATGCCAACAAGCTTCTTACAATGCCATTCCTTTGGCCTGTAACATCACTTCCCCTCCTCTCCTTGGCTTGAAAGTCAACCCTTACTGGTCCTTTTCACCCCAGCTCAAACTTGCCTTCCTTTATGAAACCTTCTTTATAAGGTAAAATTAGTGTTTCCAATGTTCTCTTCATTGCAACCTTCTATAGCAGAGTTACTTCTTCTGTAATGCTTTGTCTACCTTTTACATTAGAATGTAAGCGACTTGAGAATGGGAGCTACATCTTACTCACCTCTGTACACACCCCCCCAACATGTTTTGTGTTATCTAATAAGTGATAAGGACTTAACAAACGTTTGTTCCTTCATGACTCTGAGAAAAATCAGTGAAAACTTACTGAGAGTAACAATATCAATGTCCACTCCACTCTCAGTACTTCTGACGTTTTATCACACTAGAAAGATCACTAAATTACAGATAAATTTTTCCTATCTATAATTTATAGATATCACATGGGAAAGATAAAAGTCAAGTAAAAAATAACACGTTTTATGTGCCGATTTTTACAAATCAGAAAATAGTCAATATTTTGAGAAGGAAAAACAGTCTTCATGGGCAAAAAGAGTTAAGTTTTCTCTTCCTTCCTTCCTTTTTACCTTTTCACATCTCTACTCCCAAAGTCAAAAGAAAAACAAAAAGTTAAAGATAAGGTCAACTAGCTCTATCAATCAGGTGGGCAGTCCTTAAAACTCTGTCCTAGACAAGACAAGCCACCTAATTCAGCAATTTTAAATAACTTAGGTGATGTACAGTTAGAGAATGCCCTAACAGCTTTTTCAGTCAATAGCTCTAGAGACACAGGATAAACAAAATTATATTCACTCTGAAGTATACCTCCATGGAAGATGCTATTAGTGCTTTAACAGAAGCTCTACTGTGAATTACACTTCAAATTACCACACGGTTATGGGCTCAAATATGGGCTAGATGCCAAGTCATTTAAAGCAGATCAAGTAACATGAATCTGTGCCAACAATGTTTTACCTCATCACTACACTTTCTAAATGATCTAACAATGCTCTTGGACTTCTTGACTTAATCGGTTTAGGAATACAATTCTGTTAAAATGTATCTTTAACTCTACCTCACTCTAACAAGCAGATAACTTTCACTTAATAGTTGTTTTAGAAGATATTTGCAAGCATACAAATAAGAAAACATACTTACAGATTGTATATCTTGTAATGGTTTTTATGCTTTGAATCCAAAAACCTTAAAACAAAACAAACAAACAAAAAGCCACCATTAACAAAAATGAGCTAACATTTGAAATTACATTAATACTATCAAGAAAAACCAAAAGACAGATTTTCTTTTTCCTAATCTCAAATACCATTTAAGTGAAAATAAATAATCCAACAAATACCCCTTCTATGGGTTTAGAGTAGTAATCATGTCATTCTTAAATAATTATTACATTACACAGATTTATACAATCTGAAGTAAAACCAGAGCTTTTCAGAGAATATTTTCATAATCTTCTATCTTCAACCTAACATAATGAGACTGAATATTAAGACATAACTTCTTTAAAAAGCATTAGCATTTAGTGCAAGTATACCTAGCTCATAGAGATTTACAAGACAGTCATAATCAAGTACTCTTAAAAATAACCCTGAAAATTCAGACATCATTTTCCCATCAAACTGAAAACTTTTGATATTTGAAAGATCCACGTACTAACTATTAATTCTGTACAAAGGTATTAAACATTTTCACATATATACTCCATTCGACCCTCACAAACATCTGAGAGCTAGAGCTTATTAACACTATACAGAAGAGGGAGGTAGGTCTCAAAGAGATTACATAACTCGTCCAAGGTCATGTACAGCCAAGAAGTCAAAGAATCAAGACCAAAGACCTTTCCCTCAAGACAGTTATGAAAGTAAACAACAATTACAGCTAACACAAGCACTTACTATATGACAGACATATCCTAAGCACCTCAGGTATATAAACTGTTTAATCCTCAACCCCATAAGATAGGCAAAAGAAGGGCTAGAAGACCATGAAGCCGAGGAATTAACAGAATATACAGAATAAAAAGACAAATGAAAATCAGAAGACTAAACAAAAACTAAGAGTTCAGGATGTTAAATATATTTTAGGAGTTCCAGAAACAGAGAACACTGAGAAGAAACCGAAGACATAACTCAAGAAAAATACTCAAAAGTGAAGGATGTGAGTTTTCAAACTGGAAAGTTGCATGAGTACCTGGCAAAACAGATGAAAATAAGACCAAAATAGAAGCACACATATCTCATGAAATTTCTGAATACCAAAGAAACAGAAGATCCTAAAAGCTGCCAGAGAAGAAACAGGTTTCATAAAAGAATCTAGAATCAAAATGACATTATCCTTTTTAACAGCAATACTAGCAGCTAAAAAACAATTGGGCAAAACCTTCTGATTTTGAGGGAAAACTCTTCTCAGCCTAGAATTCTATACCAAGACAGACTATAAATCAAGTGTGACTATATAATAAGGGCATTTTAAAATCAGCGAAATCTCAAACCATACACTTTGTCAGGAAGTTACTAAAGATGTGCTCCGCCAAAACAAGAGTGGGAAACCATGAAAGAAGATGACAGTCTCCAAGAACTGAAGAATCTAACCCACAAGAGAGGAAAAGGGAATCCCTAGAATGATGGTGAAGGGACATCTTGAGTAGACAGCCATACAGCAAGCCAGGAAGAACAATTAGTCCAGACTGGGACAGATTAGAAGGCACCTGGAAAAGATAAAATTGATATAATGCCAAATGTGCTTAAACATGTTGAGAGATTTATACAATTAGGGGTGAGTTTATGAATTAAAGCTAAGAACATTGAAAACTAATTTTTTTAAAAAAAAGAGAGACAACTGTGAAGTCCAG
Source organism: Homo sapiens (assembly GCF_000001405.40). Lineage (NCBI taxonomy): Eukaryota > Metazoa > Chordata > Mammalia > Primates > Hominidae > Homo > Homo sapiens. Next base: position 139,638 of record NW_013171807.1, on the reverse strand, counting down.
AAAAAATAAAACATGCAGGAAAAAAGTCACAATATACTCTATCACTTAACTATGAATGGCATTTATCTAGTTATAATCCCATAAAAACTCAATATTGATATAACCAAAATTATAATGTAACTACTGGCAGGAATTATAATACAACTACTGGCAAGAAGAAGGATGAGGAGGAAGTCTGAAAATATGTGTGTGGTGATGTGGAAAAAAAGAGTATATGAACTTGAATCTGAAAAATTATGTTACAAAGTACTGCAAGCAGTATTTGTAACTGTCAGCAACATAAATTATATATTTTTATATCACACTACAGTTGTTGCAGATAGGCTACCATCCTTAAGAACAAAGAAACATAGTGCCCCTTGCTTTCAGCATGGTGGCTCTTCTCTGATACAGAAGGAAATGGAACTCAAGTGGAACACAGATTTCACTGAGGTAAACAGGAAGAGATTAGACTGCTAAGGCTGTTGGAGTTTGTGGAGCAAGGGACTAAGAATTTTGTATGGATTTCATCTCAGGTCCTTGGCTGGGGGCTGGGCTGTCTATGCGCAGGATCTGAAAGCATAACGGAGATGACGCCAGAGGTAACGAAATATAATACTGGGAGAAGCTGGAGTTCTGGCCTAGGCAAAGTGGAAGAGACCTCATGGAACACCCCAGATACTTAGCTGAGACATTGGAAAGGGCAACCTTGAAGTTAAAAACCATGCCCTAGGACAAAAGACAAATCTGAAAAATGCCTGCTTTAACAAAGAGAACCAAACCTGACAATACTAAATCAACTATCAATTTAAATGCCTGACAAAATGAAACTCAGCACCCTTAAAGGAAGTAACAATCCAAACTCCCTACATTTCAACATACGATTAAAATTTACTAGACAGGCAAAGCAGAAAAACATGACCTATTACAAAGAAAAAAGAGCAGGCAATAGAATCAGACTCCAAGATGAACCAGATGTTTGAATTAACAGACAGTGACTTTAAAACAGTTACTATAAATATGTACAAAGATGTTAAAAAACAATGAATACAATGAGTGAAAGATGGAAAGTCTCTGCAGACATAGAAAATACAAAAGACAGCAATTTGAGGCCTCAAAAGTACAATATCTAAGAAAAAAAATCTATCGGATGATCTCAACAGAAGATTGTAAACTGTAGAAGAAAGGTGTGGCAGATTGTATTTTCCAAAAATTCATTTAGCAAATATTTATCAAGCACCTGTTATGTAACAAATACTACTGTGGGCATAGCGGCAACAGAACTCGAAGTAATGACAACCATAATAATGAATGCTTCTAGCAGCCTGAGAAACCCGATGGAGAACTAGCTTTTGGTATCTCATTTGGAAAACAGCCTAAGGACATTGGACAGCTCCCACCAATCCTAAAATAAACGAAAAGAAAAATTAGCATCTGAAAAAGTAAAATAATTATTTATTTGCTACTTTTTCCCATGGCTAATTCGCTATTTGGTAACCATATATATTTCCCCTTGTATTAGTCCATTCTCACACTGCTATAAAGAACTACCTGAGACTGGGTAATCTTTTAGAAGAAGAAAGGTTTAATCAGAGGCCTCAGGAAACTTACAATCATGGCAGAAGGCCAAGGGAAAGCAAGCACGTCCCCGCGGCAGGAGTAGGAGGAAGAGAGAGAGCAAAGAGGGGAGGTGCTACACACTTATATACAAGCAGATCTCAGGAGAACTCTTTCGCGAGACAGCTCTAGGGTGATAGTGCTAAAACCATTACAAACCACTCCCATGATCCAATCACCTCCTACCAAGCCCCTCCTCCAACACTGAGGATCACAACTCCACATGAGATTTGGGTGGGGACACAGAGCCAAACCTTATCACTCCTGCTACATTCATGTTTAATCAACATTTGCTCTTAGAACCCTAGTGTAACTACAGCGGTTACTGCTGTTACTAACGCATAAATTTACACATAAATCATCCCTGCCTTAATCCCATCAACACAGGCAAGCTCCAAACATTTCAATTCTTAACTAATGCCTCCTGACCATCTTCAGGATGGTTATTAGAATTAATTCTGTTACGTATCCAATACATGGAAAGTAACTATCTTGTTTAAAATGTTCTTGTTTGTAACTTTCACCTGCACAGTACTGCTTTCTCCTACATTGCCTCAAGTTAAAGAAAAAATAATAACAGTTTTGAATAATTCTGCTCAAAAATAGTGATTCCTAGTACTCAAGAAAATCTAATCTCTCTAAATAGGTATAAAACTGGAGGGAAAAGAAATAAACAGTGCCAGGCCAGGCGCAGTGGCTCACACCTGTAATCCCAGTACTCTGGGAGGCCAAGGCGGGCAGATCACTTGAGGTCAGGTGTTCGAGACTAGCCTGGCCAACACAGTGAAACCCTGCCTCTGCCAAAATTAAAAAAATTAGCCAAGTATGGTGGAACGCGCCTGTAATCCCAGCTATTGGGGAAGCTGAGGCAGGGAGAATTGCTTGAACCCGGGAGGTGGAGGTTGCAGTGAGCCAAGATCGTGCCACTGCACTCCAGCCTGGGCAACAAAACGAGACTCCTTTAAAAAAAAAAAGAAAAGAAAGAAAAGAAAGGGAAGAAAGGAAGAAAGGAAGGCAAGGCAGGCAAGGCAAGGAAGGCAGGCAAGACAGGCAAGGAAGGGAAGGAAGGGAAGGAAGGAAAGAAAGAAAGAAAGAAAAGAAAGAAACAGTGGCAGAACTGACCTATAACTCACTAAGAAATTCAGAAGGCTATCAAAAATAATCTTAAAAACTGCCAAATATTTCTCCCAAGAAATCATATCATTTTGTGCTCTAACCAACATGCATAAGAGTTCCAGTTAATCTATGTCTTTGCCAATTCCTGTAAGCCCTTTTTGAGCCATTCCAGTAAATATGAGCTATCTCATTACGTTTAAATTTTCATTTCCCTGATGACTGATTTTAAACATCTTTTCATATGCCTACTGGCCATCTATATATCTTCTTTTGTAAAATTTCTGTTTCCATTTTTTGTTTTTTTTTTTGTTTGTTTGTTTTGAGACAGGATCTCACTGTGTTGCTCAGGCAAGCGTGCAGCGGTGCGATCACAGCTCACTGCAGCCTCCGCCTCCCAGGCTCAAGCTATCCTCCCACCTCAGCCTCCCAAACAGCTAGGACTACAGGTGCATGCCATCATGCCCAGCTAATTTCTTGTATTTTTTTATTTTGTAGAGACTGGGTTTCACCATGTTGCCCAGGCTGGTCTCAAACTCCTGGGCTCAAGCAATTCACCCACCTCAGCCTCCAAAAGTGCTGGCATTATAGGCATGAGCCACTGCACCCGGCCTGCCCTTCTCTTTATGGGGTTATTTTCTCATTATGAAGTTGTAAGAGCATCTTTATGTATATATTATACATTCAAGTCCTTTTTCAGATATATGTATTGCAAATATTTTCTCCAAAACTGCTTGCCTTTTCATTTTGAGTCTTTCAATGAGCAGAAATTTTTAATGTTGATAAAGTCAAATTTGTCCATTTTTTCCTTATATAGTTAATTTTATATGTACTGTCTAAGAAATCTTTAAACCAAAAGTCACAGAGATTTTCTCCTATGTTTTCATCTAGAAGTTTTATATTTTTAAATTTTACTTTTACATTTAGGTCAACAATCCACTTCAAATTAATTTTTGTATATGATAAGACATAAAAGTCAAGGTTCACTTTGTTTTCTCTATTGTTCCAGTATTATTTGTTTAAAAGATTATCCTTTTCCCATGAATAATCTCAGCACCTTTGTCAAGAAATGTGTATGTGAACTTTTCTGGAATCTACTCTGTTCAACTGATCTACATCATGTGACCCAACAATTCTACTCAAAGGTATTGAATAAACAGAAACAAAAATATATGTCCACAAAAGTCTTGCACATGAATGCTTACAGCAGCTTTGTTCATAACAGACCCAAACTGAAAACAACTCAAATGCCCACCACACTAATAAAGAAATGTCATATCCATACAATGTAATATTAGTCAGCAATAAAAAAGAACAAATTATTGATACTAGTAACAACAGGGATAAATTTCAAAAATATTATACTAAAAGAAAGAAGCCAGACACAAAAAGGAATACATGCTATATGACTGTATTTATATGTAATCCTAGTATAGGCAAAGCATATAGAAAGCAGATCAGAGATTGCCTGAAACCAGGTTTGGGGACTGACTACAAATGGGCATGAGGGAAACTTTTCATAAAGCGAGTGTTCTAAATCTTGGTTGTTGTGTTTACAAGAAGGTGTGTGTTTACAAGAAGGTGTGTGTGTGTGTGTGTGTGTGTGTGTATTTCTCAAAAGTCAATGAACCGTACATTTAAAATGGGTAGATTTTATTGCATGTAAATTATACTCCAATAAAGCTAATTTTTAAAAGTAATATAAAAAAAGTAATATAAATAGCCTCTGATTTAGAAATATCAGTATGTAAAATGCAACCTACCTTTAAAAAGACTCAAATTTATTTTGATTAAGCTAGAGGACAGCAACAGAAAGAGTACATCAACTTCAGGAATTAGAACTTTTTAGAATGAGAGGCAGAATGACACTGTATAGAACAGCACTGTCTAACAGAACTTTTGCAATAATGAAAATGTTCTGTATCTGTGCTGTCTTAATACAGTAATCACAAGCCACATGTAGCTACTGAGCACAAGAAATGTAGCTAGCAAAAACAACTCAGTAAATTTATTTTATTTTATTTACATTTAAACATAATGATAGCTACATGTGGCTAGTGGCTACCTACACTGGATAACAGATATCTAAAGGATATCTATCTATGAAAAAAAAAATCTGCTGGGATACAATACACATGCTCCCTAGTCAGGTAGTAGAAATGGGTACATCCTTAGAATAGAGCATAAAATTGGAACAGAGAAAAGGTACAGTAAAAATTAGAGACTTCACAGCTGTCAAAATATATACTAAACATATTTTCAACTACATGCAGTTTTCCAATAAATTCTTGCCATGCTTGATTAATTTGCTTCTGTCATTAGATTAGAAAGAAACTACAATTCTGGATATATTTCTAACTAAGAATGAGGAACAAGTTTGAGTGGAAATGCCAGGAAACAGGGAGAAAGTGTTCACATAATTTTAGAGTTCACGTCAGACAAGGAAGGAAATACTGGCGTAGTTAGATATGATACAGATCAGTAAAACAGATTTCAAAAGCTTCATTTAAATAACAGGCTATGAATTCATAACTCAACCTATAATGAAAGACTTGTGGTTTTAAAAACTAAAATTCTGTATAAACAACTACAAATGACTCCAGTTTAAAAAAGACAAAGGAGGAAATACACAAATTATCTAAAATCAACCAACACAGCTGCAGTGAATTTACCTTCAAAGCTCAGATTCAAAACGTACATATATATATTATAATAGCCAAAAAAGGGGATGAGAGATAATTACAGATGAAACAAAACAGCAGCACATATAAAGGAACATGAAAATAGTAAAAACAAAAGGCTTGGAGGAGGGGAGAATGTTCACACCAAAAAGAACAATAAAAAAATTAGGCCAGGTGCAGTGGCTCATGCCTGTAATCCCAGCACTTTGGGAGGCCAAAGCAGGCAGATCACTAGAGGTCAGGAGTTCAAGACCAGCCTGGCCAACATGGTGAAGTCCCATATCTACTAAAAATACAAAAATTAGCCGGGCATGGTGGCACATGCCTGTAGTCCCAGCTACTCAGGAGGCTAAGGCAGGAGAATTGCTTGAACCTGGGAGGCAGAGGTTGCAGTGAGCCAAGACTGTGCCACTGCACTCCAGCCTGGGCAACAGAGTGAGACTTTGTCTCAAGAAAGAAAAAAGAAATTAGACTCCCACACATTAAACAGCTATATAATGCTAAAGACAAGGAAAAAGGCAGGAACTCTTAAATTCCCTTTTCACTTTTATCTTCTCTATCCAAAAGAAGATGATTCAGTAAGTAAGGAGTAGTGGGTACATGACAGTTCTCTTTATTGAAAGCATTTCCTACTTGCTAATTTAAGCAAGGTGACTTTTAAAGAATATTTCTTAATAAACAATCAATAATGCAAAACAAAAGATAACCCACCAAGTTCTTTATGCTATTATTGTTTCATCTGAATTTTGTAGTCACAAAATTCAAATGGCAAGAGAAGCAGAACATTAGACAACTGTCTGAAGAAAGAATAAAATTGGTTTCCTGAAAATCATTAAGGAAAATACAAACAAACTAAAAGAAAAATAAGTTGAAAATAGGGTCAGTATATACATACACACACACCAGAAAGTACATAAGACCAATACATCAAAAAGTCGCTAAACCTCACAATTAAAAAAACACGATCAAATAACAAGATACCATTTTTTGCCAACAAGCTATAAAAAGTTAAAGTTTGAAACTATTCAGTTTGCCAAAGTTAGTGGGGATAGAAGGAAGAAGCACTCTTAAACAGTGAGTATATAAAATACCATTTTTGAAGGCACTAGTTTAAACCATAGACGCAATGGACCTAGCAACTCCACTGCTAAGAATTTGCCTTAAAGATATACTTGGAAAAGACAACAAGATACATATGTGAACTGTTCTCAATGACAAAAAAAAAACTGGAAACAACTTATATATTCATCATAGGGGCCTATTAATGATAGCATGATCATAAAATGAAATAAAAGGTAGTTAATAAAAGAATCAGGTAGGTAGATGTCCACAACAATATGGAAGATTCCTCAGATATAAAATTTTTGAAAGGGGCCAAACAGTGGTAGTATGTTCCCATTTGCTTTTCTTAAAAAGTGGGTAAACAATGAAAACAATTTTCAAAAGAATATGTGAAACTTTAAATTACAGATATAGTTAGGAAGAGGGTAAAATAGGAGAAATTTGTAGGGGATATTTGTCATCTTCAGGCTGTTAGGCAACCAAAATACCATTTCAATTTGGAGATAATTTCAAGAGATTAGAAGCAGATACTTCTTTCCTCATCTTTCTCTTAACACATGTACAGGCCTGATACCAACTATTAATAGATCTTTTTGCCGTGGATACCGAATCCTAGTGAGGACAAGGTACAGGAGAGTCAGAGATTATTCCTAGAGATCACCAGAGGAGGTGAGTTAATGAGCAGAGTCACCAGTTTCGAGGCATAGTGGCAGCAGCTATTACACCAAGTGTCCAAGCAGCAAAGTCCTAAGCAGATTGCTCCTGTTGAAACCTTGGGGCCATGTCTTGCTTCCCTTAGCTTCCACCTACCTAATACTTTTTTAAAAATTCCTTTCTGATTAGGTAAATCAGAGTCACTTTCTATCATTTGCAACCAAGAATTCTGGTTTCTTTTACAGCATTTTCCCATAATTTTGTTTTTAGTGAGGGCTGGTGAAACCATGCTCTTTTGTGAGCTCCCTTTAATATTTGAACTTTATGATTTCTTACCTACCACTGTGAACAACTGTGAGACTTGCAGGAGAATAAACAATCTATTTAAAAGAAAGTATTACAACAGTTTAAAAAGGGGATGAGGTTATGTTCTCTCAAAGAACTTGACTATAACTTAGGGAAACATTCACCATGGCTGCCCCTCCCACTTCCTTCTCTTTCCTCCCAAGGATTTCATGCCCACAGTTGGCTGATTGCCTTATAAGTCTGACACAATGGAAAGGCGGAAAAAAAGCAAGAAAACAGCACTTTCCAAAGGGAAATGGGAAAATTTGCCTATAGATACTTGGAAAGTAGAGACTAAAAAAGTAGATAAACAAAAGCAGAGAGGTAATACTCCCAAAACTTGGATAATCTAGACTACAAATCTTTCTAATATAAACATACCTTACTTCCAATAATTTCAATATATAAACATCTAAACCCATTAATGACTCACAGATTTGAGAACACAGTCTTTTTTTTTTTGTACTTTGTGTGTAAATTATACTTCAATAAGCCTAACTTTTTAAAAAGCTTCACATGCTGCAAAATATCCCTTATGGGCAGACCTCTTACCTGGGCAAGGAAAGAGAGCAGAAAAAAGAAACAAGCACAAGAATGTGGGGCTACTTAAGGGAGTGTAGTAGTGGGGCACTGACAGCACAGACCTCGGTATGTCTTTGTGAAGTCTGGCGGTCTTGGGGATTAAGAACTGGCAGCTCTGATTGTTAGTCTGGAGCAGCTTCTACCTCCCTGGGAGGCCACTGTGCTCTCTATCCCACCCCTGAGGGATTAGGGAAGGAAAAGCATAGCAGGCTTGCCCAGGGCCTGACTACGACCCAGGTAGGTGGGGACACTAGGTACCTGCCCCAGCAGAGATGGCTTTCAGGTATACAGGTTGCTGCGCCTTCTGAAACTCACAGGGCAGCACTCAGACCATGCAGGCCCAAAGCCCTGATGCCTCCTGCAGGTTACACTTCCCGACACTTGCAAAAGGCTAGCACGAGAAGCACCCATAAGCAGGGTGAGAAAATCTGTCTTCATTTTTTAAATTCTTTACTTTCTTCACAGTTCCTATGAAACAGATCTAAATAAGCTTCAAGAATACGTTTTAAAATTATTTTTGACAAAATAATAAACATATACCTTTCAAATGATAAAATAAAAAAAGTTTGGAATAAAAAATTTGTCTAAGAGCTGGGTGCAGTGGCTCACACCTGTAATCCTAGCACTTTGGGAGGCTGAGGCGGGTTGATCACCTGAGGTCAGGAGTTCGAGACTAGCCTGGCCAACATGGTGAAACCCTGTCTCTACTAAAAATACAAAAAATTAGCCAGGCATGGTGGTGCACGCCTGTAATTCCAGCTACTTGGGAAGCTGAGGCAGGAGAATTGCCTGAACCCGGGAGGCAGAGGTTGCAGTGAGCCGAGGTCATGCTACTGTACTCCAGCCTGGGCGGGCAACAGAGTAAGACTCCATCTCAAGAACAAAAAAAAAAAATTAGTCAAAGAAAGATGGCAGAATCAGAAGTACCAGGAACCCATCTCCCCACCTAGACGACTGTAAGCAGAATCTGTGATTCTGGAACTCTGGAGTCTATTCAGGTTTTCAGTTTCTAAGGAAAGACTTGAATGGTAAATCAGTTAGTTTGAGTCAATTTCAGCTCTTTGTGCCGTCGCGGCTACCCATCACCCACTCTCAAAGCAGGCAACCATGCACATGTTCCCAGAGCACCCTGCACACAGTTTGTAAGAGTCAAGGTTGGCAACAAAGACCTTGCCCTCCAAATATCAGGAATCTGTGTTCTGATTGCTAATTGCTGCTTCTGATCAAAATGTGACACAGAGGCAGACTATCATTATTTAACTGCCATTGGCTGAAAAAATTGCTCCAGGGATTTAAAGATCCAGAGCTATTTCACCCCTTTGATTTATTTTTAATTTTTAATTTTTATTTATTTATTTATTTATTTTGCCTTTTAGGAGCCAAACATTTAAGGAGGATACTACTGCAAAAGAACTGCATACATAGGGCAATTTAGAAAGTCACTACACATGCCCAGGGAAAAACACAGGCCGAGAAGATCTTAAGATTACACCCAGCATAGAAATACTCTACAACAAATAAAAAAACCAAACAAAATAGCACATCTTAGAGAAAAGAGAAAAATCTAATTTCCAAAGTTACCACTCTTTAAGATTCAAATTCCAGTTTTTGACAACAACAACAAAAATCACAAAGCATACCAAAAAAAAAAACTACCCCAAGCAAAACATTAAGTATAGGCCAAAAGGAAAAAAATAAATTAACAGAAACTGTGCCTGAGAAGATCAGATGGCAGACACTTACTAGACATAGACTTTAAAACAAATGTTGAAAGGTGCTCAAAAAGCTAAAGGAAGATATGGATAATGTCAAAAAACAAAATTGAAATATCAATAAAGAGAAAACATAAAAAAATCAAAAAATAAATGCTGGAGCTGAAAAGTACAAAAACTGAAATAAAAATTTACTAGAGGAATTCAAAAGCCAATTTGGGCAGGCAGAAGAATCAGTAAACTTGGAAGGCAGAACAGCTGAAAATACCACGTGTCTGAGGAACAGAAAAAAAAAACTGAAGGAAAATTGAAGACAAGAGCCTAAGACACCTGTGGAACACCATCATCAAGTGGACCAACACATACACACTCTGGGAATCCCAGAATAAAAAGAGAGAAAAGGGGCAAAAAAGATTATGTGAAGAAATATTAATCAAAAACTTCCCAAATTTGATGAGACATGAATATAAATATTCAAGAAGCTCAATTAACTCCAAGTAGGAAAAACTCAGAGATCCAAGTAGGAAAAACTGAGATAGATTATAATCAAACTATGAAAAAAGAGAATCCTGAACATGGAATGAGAGAAGCAACTTGTAACATACAAAGGGATCCTCAATATCAGCAGATTTCTCATCAGAACTCTTGAAGGACAGAAGGCAGTGGGATGATATATTTAAAATCCTGAAAGGAAACAAACAAATAAACACAAATACCTGTCAACTGAGAATACTATATCCAGCAAAAATGTCCTTAAAAATGAAGACATTAAGACATTTCCAGATTAACAAAATCTGAGAGAGTTCATTATCACCAGACCTGTCCTGCAAGAAACGCTGAAGTGAGTCTTTCAGGCTGAAATAAAAGGAGACTAGACAGTAACTTGAAGCTGTATTAAGAAATAAAGATCTGAGAAATGATAAATACATGAGCAATTACCAAAGCTAGCATTATTGTAACATTGGTTTACAACTCCACTTTTTGTTTTCCACAAATTAAGACACTACTGCATTAAAAAACAATTATTAGTCTACGCTTTTAGACACACAATACATAAAAATGTAATTTTATGACATCAATAACTGGAAGGGAGCAGGGACTGAATCTTATGAGCTGAATTTTTGTATGCTATTGAAAGTAAATTGGTATAAATTGAAATTGCAGTGTTATAACTTTAGGGCATTAAATGTGACCCCCAATGGCAACCACACACACACACACACAGAAAATAGCAGAATATAAACAAAAGGAAATAACAAGGAAATTAAAACACTTCACCACAAAATATCAACTAAACACAAGTGCCAGTAAGGCAGGAAATGAGGGACAAAAAAGCTGTAAGGCATATAGAAAATAAACAGCAAAATGGCAGCAGTTAAATCCTTATCAATAATTACTTTAATTGTAAATGATAAAACTCTTCAATCAAAAGGCAGAGTTTGACAGAATGTATAAGAAAAACACAATCTACAAGAGATTGTATATGCTGTCTACAAGAGACTCATTTCAGATCCAAAGACACAAATAAGGGATGTAAAAAGACATTCTATACAAGTAATAACCAAATGAGAGTGCAGGTAGCTACATTAATATTAGACAAACTAAATCAAAACAAGGTTGAGACAAAAAAGATATTACACATCAATAAGTGTCAATATAGCAAGAAGATATAATAATCAAAAACATTTACATGCCTAATAAGAGACCACCCAATTATATGAAGCAAAAAATTGACAGAATTGAAGGTAAACAGACAGTTCTGAAATAACAGCTGGACACTTCGATACCCTACTCTCAATAATGGACAAAAACACCCAGTCAGAATATAGGCAAGAAAATAGAGGATCTGGGCCAGACAAGGTGGCTAACGCCTATAATCCTAGCACTTCGGGAGGCCAAGGCGGGTGGATCACTTGAAGTCAGGAGTTCGAGATCATCCTGGCCAACATGGCGAAACCCTGTCTCTACTAAAAATACAAAAATTAGCTGGGCATGGTGGCATGTGCCTGTAATCCTACCTACTGGGGAGGCTGAGACCAGGAGAATTGCTCGAACCCAGGAGGTGGATGTTGCAGTGAGCCAAGATCGCACCACTGCACTCCAGCCTGGGTGACAGAGCAACACTCTGTTTTAAAAAAAAAACAGGGAACCAAATAAAGTATCTTCTATCACAACAGGATGCCACTGAAAATCAATAAAATCAATAACTGAAGAAAAAGTAGAAAATTCACCAACTGTGGAAATTAAAAAATACACGGTTAAACGCAGAAGAAATCACAAGGGAACTTAGAAAATACTTAGAAATAAATTAAAACAAAAAAACACAACATGCCAAAAATTACAGAACAGCAAAAGCAGTCCTAAGAGGGAAATTTGTAGTTGTACACATTTAATTGAAAACGATCTCAAATCAATAATCCAACTTCAAATCTTAAGGAACTAGAAAAAGAACAAACTAATAAACCCAAAGCTAGCAGGATGAAGGAAATAACAAAGCTTAGAGAGGATATAAATAATAGAAAAATAACAGAGAAAAATCAATGAAACCAAAAACTGGTTCTTTGAAAAAATTTTAACAATTGACCCAGCTTTACCTGTATTAAGATAAAGAAGATTCAAATTACTAAAATCTGAAATAAAAGTAGGGACATTAGTATCAACTGCACAGAAGTTTAAAAAAAAGAGAAGACAGTACTATGAACAATTGTATGCCAACAAATTAGATAATATAGATTAAATGGAGAAATAACGAGAAGTACAAAATGTACTAATACTGAATCACACACACAAAAAGAAAATCTGAATAGACCTATAACTAGTAACAAGACTGAATCAATAATAACAATAAAAAAATTCCAGACAAAAGCCCTAGATGTGATTTTTTTATCTGTGAATTCTATCAAACATTTAAAGAACATCGTTTTTTCCCAAAGTTTTGCCAAAAATGGATGAGGAAACACTTCCTAACACATTCAATGAGGCCAGCATTGCCCTGATAGCAAAGTCAAAGAAACTACAAAAGAAAACTATAGACCAGTAGCCCTTAGGAACATTGATATAAAGTCCTCAACACAGAACCAACAAACTGAATTCCACAGCTTATTAAATGGATTATACACGAAGACCAAGTAAAATTTATTCCTGGGATGCAAAAATGGCTCAATATATGAAAAACAATATATCATGTTAATAGAAAGAAGAAAACAAATCACATGGTCATCTCAACTAGCACAGAAAAAATATTTGAAAAAATTCAACAAGATTTTATGATAAAAACACTCAATAAACTAAGAATAAAAAGAAATTACCACAACATAATGAAGGCCATATATAAAAATCCCACAGTGGCCAGGCATGGTGGCTGACTATAATCCCAGCACTATGGGAGGCCGAGGCAGGTGAATCACTTGAGGCCAAGAGTTCGAGACCAGCTTGGCCAACATGGTGAAACCATGTTTCTACTAAAAATACGAAAATTAGCTGGGCATAGTGGTGGACACCTGTAATCCCAGCTACTTGGGAGGCTGAAGCAGGAGAATCACTTGAACCTGGCGGGAGGAGGAGGGTGCAGTGAACCGAGATCGCACCACTGCACTCCAGCCTGGGCGACACAGCGAGACTCTATCTGGGGGGAAAAAAAAAATCCCATAGCTAACATGATAGTCAATGGCAAAGAATTGAAAGCTTTTCCTATAAGGTCAGAAACAAGACAGGATGCCTGCTTTCACCACTTCCATTCAACATAGTATTGAATGTATGAGAGAGCATTAAGAAAATGAATAAAAATCATCTCAAATTGGAAAGGAACAAGTAAAATTATCTCATTTGCAGATGATATAATCTTATATGCAGAAAACCTCAAGGATTTCAAACACAAAAAAAGAATAAACAAACCCGCGAAGAAGCAGGGCACAAATTTAATGTGCGAAGAATCAGTTGTGTTTCTATACCCTAAGAATGAACAATTAGGAAAGGAAATTAAGAAAACAGATTTATAAGATCATCAGAATGAATAAAATACTTAGGAATTAACTTAACCAAGGAGGTAAAATACTTGTACACTGAAAATTACAAAACATTGCTGAAAGAAAAGAAAGAATACGTAAATAAATGGAAAGACATCTGGTGTTCATGGCTTTAAAGACTTAATATTGTTAAGATGTCAGTACTATTCAATGCAATCTACAGACTAATACAATCCCTACCAAAATCCCAACAATGTTTCTGGTAGAAATAAAAAAAAAAATCCAGGTGGGAGGAGGCGAGCTCAGGAAAAATAACTAATGGGTACTAGGCTTAATACCTGGGTGATGAAATAATCTATACAACAGAACACCTTGACACAAATTTACCTATGTAATAAACCTGCACATGCACCCCTAAACTTAAAAGTTAAAAAAAAAATCCATCCTAAAACTCACAAAGGGCCCTGAAGGGCCAAAACCATCTTGAAATATAAGAAGTTGGGGCCATGCACGGTGGCTCATACCTGTAATCGCAACACTTTGGGACACTGAGGAGGGCAGACTGCTTGGGCTCAGGAGTTCGAGACCCACCTGGGCAATATGGCAAAACCCTGTCTCTACAAGAAATACAAAAACTAGCTGAGCATGGTGGTATGTGTCTACAATCCCAGCTACTCAGGAGGCTGAGGTGGGAGGATTGCTTGAACCTCAGATGTGGAGGTTGCAGTGAGCTAAGATTGTGCCACTGCACTCCAGCCTGGGCAACAGAGCCAGATGCTATTTCAAAAAATAAGTAAATAAATACACAAGACATATACTTCCTGGTTTCAAATTTTACTATAAAGCTACAGTACTAAAATTAGGGTGGTCCTGACATAAAAAAACAAACATATAGTCTAACAGAATAGTCGAGAGAGCCCAAAAATAAACCCTTGCATCTATTGTCAAATAATTTTCAACAAGAGTGCCAAGACTATTCAATGGGGAAAAAGACACTCTTTTCAACAAATAATGCTGGGAAAACTAGATATTCACATCCAAAAGTGTGAAGCTGGACTCTTACATAACATTATATACAAAATTTAACTCAAAATGGATCAAACACCTAAATGTGAGAGCTAAAACTATAAAAACCTTCAGGAGAAAACATGGGGGAAAGTTTCATGGTATGAATTTGGCAATTATTTCTTGAATGTGACACCAAAGGTACAGGCAACAAAAGAAAACAGACAAGTTGGATTTTTTCAAGCTAAATAGCTCCTGCACAGCAAAGGAAACAATCAACAGAGTGAAAAAGTAACCCATTCTTTATGGGAGAAAATATTTGCAAATAACATATCCAATAAGGGATTAATATTCAGAGAATACAAAGAACTTCTTTTTCTTTTTTTTTGAGACAGAGTCTCGCTCTGTCACCCAGGCTGAGTGCAGTGGCACAATCCTGTCTCACTGCAACCCCCCCACCTTCCGGGTTCAAGCAAGTCTCCTGCCTCAGCCTCCCCAACAGCTGGGACTACAGGTGTGCACCATCACGCCCGACCACACCAGCTAATTTTTGTATTTTTAGTAGAGATGGGGTTTCACTATACCAGCCAGTCTGGTCTTGAACTCCTAACCTCGTGATCCACCTGCCTCGGCCTCCCAAAGGCACGAGCCACCGTGCCCAGCCAGAGTATACAAAGAACTTCTAAAACACAATTTAAAAATCCCAAACTACTCAATTCATAAATGGGCAAAAGGCTTCAAGAGACATCATTGCTCCAAAGCTGATATACAAATGACCAAATAAGCATGTGCAAATGTTCAATATCGCTGATCATTAGGAAAATGCAAATTAAAACCACAATGAGACTTCACACCCATTAGGATGGCTATTATTAAAAAAAAACATAAACAAAACAACACGATGGTGAGGATGTGGCAAATTCGGAACCCTAGTGTATTGCTGGTGGTAATGTAAAATTGGGCAGCCAGTATATCAAACAGTATGGTGGTTTCTCAAAAATTTAAATATAGAATTACCATTCAATCCAGCAATCTCACTTTTGGGTACATATCCAAAAGAAATGAAAGCAGATACTCAAACAGGTATTACATACCCATATTCATAGCAGCATTATTCACAACAGCCAAAAGTGTCTATTGATGAATAAATGGATAAACAAAATATGGTATATACATAACAATGGAATATTATTCGGCCTTTTAAAAGGAAGGAAATGCTAACAACTGCTACAACATGGATGAACCTCGAAGATAGTTAGTGAAATAAGCCAGTTACAAAAAGATATCACGTGATTCCGCTTATACGAGGTACCTAGAATAGTCAAATACATAGAGATGAAAGTAGAACAATGGTTGGTACTAACAGGAGGAGCAATGAGGAGTTATTATTTAATGGGTGTGGTATGTCAGTGTGGGATAATGAAAAAGTTCTAGAGATGGACAGTGGTGACAATTGCACAACAATGTAAATGTACTGAATGCTAGATGTTAATGCTACTGAACTGTATGTTTTATATATATATATCATATATATCATATATATATCATATATATCTCATATATATGAGATATATCTCATATATATATATACACACGCACACACATACACATATATATAAAATATATTATCACAGTAACAAAATTACTCATCTCTGGCCCTATTTATCTTCAAACCTTTATTCCTGCTTCTCCCCAGATGCAATCACCCTCAACTACTCGGATTCTTTTTCCTCCTATTTAATTAGGTATTTTAAAATATTATTCTTAATACTGCTTCTTACAGATTTATTAACTACAGATGTCCTGCCATGGTAAAGGAGACTTACAAAACTAGCAGTATTCCATACGTGTTTCACTTATCTTAATTCCCCTAAAATAGCAACATCACAATTTTGGGTTAACTCAAACCACCAATGCTAATAATTGTTTCCTTTTTCTAATTTGCTCAGTTTTGCAAGAATCCATTACATTTTTCTCCAAATATTTCAACATCCATCTATCAATTTGATTATTTTCCCGGAAGTTCTAATCTCCTGCTCCAAGCAAAACTGGTAACTTTTCAGCTTGTGTCACAGCTGTCATCCTGGGACTTTCTTCTTTGTTGCTTCTGAGTGGGATTCTCTGTTTACTGAAGCTCTTTTATTTCCTTTCTTGGTTTATTCCCTTGTTTTGTTGAACCACATCTTCTGGGTAATGTCCAAAAAAAATGTTCTTCATGAGCACATTTTTTTAGTCCTTGAGTTTTTCCCCCTACTTTCACACTTGATTGATGGTTTAACTGGATACAGAATTCTAGGCTGAATGCAGAACTTTCAAGGTGATGTTTTACCACCTTCTACCTTCAATTCTACTGCCAACAAGTTAGATGCTATTCATATTCCTAATCCCTCCTAGGCGATTCTAAAAAGTTTTTAGATATTATCTTTATTTCTGGTGTCCTAAAACAAATTTCATAATAATTTGCCTAGTATAGGGTTTCTTTTATTGTGCTTGGCACTATGTAGGTCTTTTCAATCTGGATGTTTCTCTCCTTTGTTTTCTCTTTATGAATCCTGTTAATTAGAGACAAGATCTCTACAATGATCCTATAGCACATTTTAATTGATAAAATTAACATATAACACTACAATATTGTCTAAAGCAGTCTGTACATATACAAATAATGTAATAACTAACATATATAGGTCTAACTACTAATTCTATGAGTTATACAGAATCAAAGTTACAATCTCAAAAACAGATGAGAAATGACAATGAATAATCTGTTCATTGACAGAGACAGGTCGGACATTACACAGCTCCAGCTGATTTTTGTCACGCAGGAATGTCAGCCAAGTGTTGGAAGATCCTTCGAAATTTCAAAAGCAGCTAGAAATATAGCTTTTTATGTGAGGTCTCAATTTTTAAATATAGGTAATGTATTTCAATTTTAAACATGGTATGAATCAACAGTGTGAGGTCAAATAAAGAATATTAACAAGATTAGCCCAAGAGTTGTACACAAGATAATATGGTTCCTAAGGAAACAACTTCGGAATCTGACAGACCAGAACTCAACCTTCAGTCTCACTACTTACTAAAAGTAATGCTTGGGGAAGTTAACTTCTTTTAAACCATCTATGAAATGGGGATAGATTTACTGTAGAGATTTAGTAAGATTATATACATAAACTGGCTATACAACAGTTACACATGCAAATAAGTATGTAAATAAATGCCCAATAAATATCTCCTATTATTAACATACAAAAAAATGCATTGGTGTAGATAATATAAACACTGTCAAATCCACTAAGGAATTAAGACTAATGAAAGAAGTAGGAGGTGGCCAGAACGGTGGCTCACGCCTATAATCCCAGCACTTTGGGAGGCCAAGGCAGGCAGATTACCTAAGGTCAGGAGTTCAAGGCTAGCCTGGCCAACATGGTGAAACCACGTTTCTACTAAAAATACAAAAATTAGCCAGGCATGTGGCGCGTGCCTGTAGTCCCAGCTACGGGAGGCTGAGGCAGGAGAATTGCTTGAACTCGGGAGGCAGAGGTTGCAATGAGATGAGATCGCCCCATTGCACTACAACCTGGGAAACAAACCAAGACCCCGTCTCAAGATTTAAAAAAAAAAAAAAAAAAAAAAGCAAGAGGCACCCAATAAGAACAGGGCTTTCTTTTGGGGTGATAAAATGTTTTGAAACTTGATAAAGGTAGAGGTAACACTGTGAAGGTAATAAATGCCACGGAATGTACACTTTCCGTGGTTAAAATGGTTAGCTGTTATGTGAATTTCACTTTATTAAAGAAAAAATGTGGGAAAAACGAGGTAATATGAGAGAAGGAGTCAGAATATGCTAGAAACAGAGAATGAAACTGATCATTCTTTCCTCTTTTGAAGCCTGCCTATAAATAACATCTCTTTAACTCCTTTTTTAAACTGAATAGCCAATACTGATGTTAGGGCAACAAATACTTCCTTTTTATTGAAAATCAACATACAACTAAGGTTGAAAGACTGAGAGATCAACATATTTCAAATATTTCAAAAGAATATTTGAGACTGGGAGTGGAGGCTCACGCCTGTAATCCCAGCACTTTGGGAGGCTGAGACAGGTGGACTGCTTGAGTTCAGGAGTTCGAGACCAGCCTGGAAAACATGGCGAAACTCTGCCTCTACTAAAAATAGAAAAATTAGCCATGTACGGTGACACACGCCTGTGGTCCCAGCTACTTGAGAGGATGAGGTGGGAGGATCGCTGGAGCCCAGAAGTCGAGGTGAACCATGATCACAGCACCACCGTACTCCAGCCTGAGTGACCGAGCGAGACTCTGTCTCAAAAAAAAAGGGGCGAGGGGGTGCTCTTGAATCTATTACACAGCTGCTTATACATGGGGGAAAAAGCTCACAGTGAACAAGACAATAAATAAATCTTTTTCAAAAATCACTATATATCAGAAGACTGTACTCTAAAAGCATTTCCTTATAATATAGGACTCATGCCACCAACAAAGAAAAGAAAAAGGAGGTAGAGGGAAAGGGAAAGAACAGAAAAGGAAAAGAAAAGCATCATACTAGAATCTCACTCTTGGGAGATTTACAATGCATAGTGGCATATTAAAGGTTCTGCAGTGAGAAAGACAGTTCACCTCTATTAAACCTCCATTCTCCTGATTTATAAGAAACAAACAATTCTTAAGTTATGCCTCTTAAACACATGAAGCACCAATTTTGTTAAAGACTGCCTAGATTTACACCAAATAACATAAATTGAAAAACTTCAGTATCAGCTTGAGGGATGAGATTAACATACATATTGGCCGGGTGCAGTGGCTCATGCCTGTAATCCCAGCACTTTGGGAGGCTGAGGCAGGCGGATCGCTTGAGCGCAGGAGTTTGAGACCAGCCTGGGAAACACAGCGAAACCCTATCTCTACAAAAAACACAAAAATTAGCCAGGCCTGGTGATGCGTGGCTGTGGTCCCAGCAACTTGGGAGGCTGAGGTGGGAGGATCACTTGAGCCCAGAAGGCAGAGGTTGCAGTGAGCCGTGATCATGCCTCTGCACCCCAGCCTGGGTGACAGAGCAAGAAACTGCCTTAAAAAAAAAAAAAAAAAAAAAAAGGTGGCATTCCAAGATGGTCAAATAGGAACAGCTCCTGTCTGCAGCTCCCAGCATGATCCACGCGGAAGACAGGTGATTTCTGCATTTCCAACTGAGGTACCTGGTTCTTCTCACTGGGACTGGTTGGAAAGTGGGTGCAGCCCACGGAGGGTGAGCTGAAGCAGGGCGGGGCATTGCCTCACCCAGGAAGCACAAGGGGTCGGGGGATGTCCCTTTCCAAGCCAAGGGAAGCTGTGACACACTATACCGGGAAAATTGGGACACTGCCACCCAAATACTGCGCTTTTCCAACGGTCTTAGCAAATGGCACAACAGGAGATTATATCCCGTGCCTGGCTCAGCAGGTCCTACGCCCACAGAGCCTTGCTCACTGCTAGCGTAGCAGTTCCAAATTGAACTTCAAGGCAGCAGCCTGGCTGGGGGAGGGGCGTCCATCATTGCTGAGGCTTGAGTAGGTAAAGTGGTTGGGAAGCTCCAACTGGGTGGAGCCCACCACAGCTCAAGGAGGCCTGCCTGCCTCTGTAGACTCCACCTCTGGAGGCAGGGCATAGCTGAACAAAAGGCAGCAGAAACTTCCTCAGACTTAAACATCCCTCTCTGACAGCTCTGAAGAGAGCAGTAGTTCTACCAGCACAGTGTTTGAGCTCTGAGAACGGACAGACTGCCTCCTCAAGTGGGTCCCTGACCCCCTTGTAGCCTAACTGGGAGACACCTCCCAGTAGGGGCCGACTGACACCTCATACAGCCGGGTGCCCCCAAGACGAAGCTTCCAGAGGAAGGCTCCGGCAGCAATATTTGCTGTTCTGCAATATTTGCTGTTCTGCAGCCTCCACTGGTGATATCCAGACAGTGTCTGGAGTGGACCTCCAGCAAACTCCAACAGACCTACAGCTGAGGGACCTGACTGTTAGAAGGAAAACTAACAAACAGAAAGGAATAGCATCAACATTAACAAAAAGGACATCCACACCAAAACCCCATCTGTAGGTCACCATAATCAAAGACCAAAGGTAGATAAAACCACAAAGATGGGGAGAAAACAGAGCAGAAAAGCTGAAAATTCTAAAACCCAGAGTGCCTCTTCTCCTCCAAAGGATCACAGCTCCTCACCAGCAATGGAACAAAGCTGGATGAAGAATGACTTTGACGAGTTGACAGAAGTAGGCTTCAGAAGGTCAGTAGTAACAAACTTCTCCGAGCTAAAGGAGGATGTTCAAACCCATCGCAAGGAAGCTAAAAACCTTGAAAAAAGATTAGACAAATGGCTAACTAGAATAAACAGTGTACAGAAGACCATAAATGACCTGATGGAGCTGAAAATCATGGCTCGAGAACTACATGACGCATGCACAAGCTTCAGCAGCCGATTCGATCAAGTGGAAGAAAGGGTATCAGTAATTGCAGATCAAATGAATGAAATGAAGCAAGAAGAGAAGTTTAGAGAAAAAACAGTAAAAAGAAATGAACAAAGCCTCCAAGAAATATGGGACTATGTGAAAAGACCAAATCTACGTTTGATTGGTGTACTTGACAGTGACGGGGAGAATGGAACCAAGCTGGAAAACACTCTTCAGGATATTATCCAGGAGAACTTCCCCAACATAGCAAGGCACGCCAACATTCAAATTCAGGGAATACAGAGACCACCACAAAGATACTCCTAGAGAAGAGCAACCCCAAGACACATAATTGTTAGATTCACCAAGGTGGAAATGCAGGAAAAAATGTAAAGGGCAGCCAGAGAGAAAGGTCGGGTTACCCACAAAGGGAAGCCCATCAGACTAACAGCAGATCTCTCCGCTGAAACTCTACAAGCCAGAAGAGAGTGGGGGCCAATAGTCTACATTCTTAAAGAAAAGAATTTTCAACCCAGAATTTCATATCCAGCCAAACTAAGCTTCATAAGGGAAGGAGAAATAAAAACCTTTACAGACAAGCAAATGCTGAGAGATTTTGTCACTACCAGGCCTGCCTTACAAGAGCTCCTGAAGGAAGCACTAAACATGGAAAGGAACAACTGGTATCAGCCACTGCAAAAACATGCCAAATTGTAAAGACCATTGATGCTAGGAAGAAACTACATCAACTAATGGGCAAAATAACCAGCTAACATCACAATGACAGGATCAAATTCACACATAACAATATTAACCTTAAATGTAAATGGGGTAAATGCCCCAATTAAAAGACAAAGACTGGCAAATTGGATAAAGAGTCAAGACCCATCAGTGTGCTGTATTCAGGAGATGTATCTCACATGCAGACACACACACAGGCTCAAAATAAAGGGATGGAGGAAGATCTACCAAGCAAATGGAAAGCAAGAAAAAGCAGGGGTTGCAATCCTAGTCTCTAATAAAACAAACTGTAAACCAACAAAGATCAAAAGAGACAAAGAAGGGCATTACATAATGGTAAAGGGATCAATTCAACAAGAAGAGCTAACTATCCTAAATATATATACACCCAATACAGGAGCACCTAGATTCATAAAGCAAGTCCTGAGTGACCTACAAAGAGACTTAGACTCCCACACAGTTAATATCGGGAGATTTTAACACCCCACTGTCAATATGAGACAGATCAACGAGACAGAAGGTTAACAAGGATATCCAGGATTTGAACTCAGCTCTGCACCAAGCAGACCTAATAGACATCTACAGAACTCTCCATCCCAAATCAACAGAATATACATTCTTATCAGCACCACATCACACTTATTCCAAAATTGACCACATAGTTGGAAGTAAAGCACTCACTCCTCAGCAAATGTAAAAGAATAAAAATCACAACAAACTGTCTCTCAGACCACAGTAAAATCAAATTAGAACTCAGGATTAAGAAACTCACTCAAAACTGCACAACTACATGGAAACTGATCAACCTGCTCCTGAATGACTACTGGGTAAATAACAAAATGAAGGCAGAAATAAAGATGTTCTTTGAAACCAATGAGAACAAAGACACAACGTACCAGAATCTCTGGGACACATTTAAAGCAGTGTATACAGGGAAATTTATAGCACTAAATGCCCACAAGAGAAAGCAGGAAAGATCTAAAATCAACACCCTAATATCACAATTAAAACAACTAGAGATGCAAGAGCAAACAAATTCAAAAGCTAGCAGAAGGCAAGAAATAACTAAGATCAGAGCAGAATTGAAGGAGATAGGACACAAAAAACCCTTCAAAAAAAAAATCAATGAATCCAGGAGCTGGTTTTTTTAAAAAACAAAATTGATAGACTGCTAGCAAGACTAATAAGGAAGAAAAGAGAGAAGAATCAAATAGATGCAATAAAAAATGATAAAGGGGATATCACCACTGATCCCACAGAAATACAAACTACCATCAGAGAATACTATAAACACCTCTATGCAAATAAACTAGAAAATCTAGAAGAAATGGATAAATTCCTGGACATATACACCCTCCCAAGACTAAACCAGGAAGAAGTTGAATCCCTGAATAGACCAGTAACAGGCTCTGAAATTGAGGCAATAATTAATAGCCTACCAACCGAAAAAAGTCCAGGACCAGACAGATTCACAGCCGAATTCTACCAGAGGTAAAAAGACGAGCTGGTACCATTCCTTCTGAAACTATTCCAATTCATAGAAAAAGAGGGAATCCTCCCTAACTCATTTTAGGAGGCCAGCACCATCCCGATACCAAAGCCTGGCAGAGACACAACAAAAAAAGAGAATTTTAGACCAACACCCCTGATGAACATCAATGCAAAAATCCTCAATAAAATATTGGCAAACCGAATCCAGCAGCACATCAAAAAGCTTATCCACCAAGATCAAGTTGGCTTCATCCCTGTGATGCAAGGCTGGTTCAACATACGCAAATCAATAAACATAATCCATCACATAAAGAGAACCAAAGACAAAAAACCACATGATTATCTCAATAGATGCAGAAAAGGCCTTTGACAAAATTCAACAGCCCTTCATGCTAAAAACTCTCAATAAATTAGGTATTGATGGAACGTATCTCAAAATAATAAGAGCTATTTATGACAAACCCACAGCCAGTATCATACTGAATGGGCAAAAACTGGAAGCATTCCCTTTGAAAACTGGCACAAGACAGGGACGCCCTCTCTCACCACTCCTATTCAACACAGTGTTGGAAGTTCTGGCCAGGGCAATCAGGCAAGAGAAAGAAATAAAGGGTATTCAATTAGGAAAAGAGGAAGTCAAATTGTCCCTGTTTGCAGATGACATGATTGTATATTTAGAAAGCCCCACTGTCTCAGCCCAAAATCTCCTTCAGCTGATAAGCAACTTCAGCAAAGTCTCAGGATACAAAATCAATGTGCAAAAATCACAAGCATTCTTATACACCAATAACAGACAGACAGAGAGCCAAATCATGAGTGAACTCCCACTCACAACTGCTACAAAGAGAATAAAATACCTAGGAATCCAACTTACAAGGGATGTGAAGGACCTGTTCAAGAACTACAAACCACTGCTCAACGAAATAAAAGATGACACAAACAAATGGAAGAACATTCCATGCTCATGGGTAGGAAGAATCAATATCGTGAAAATGGCCACACTGCCCAAGGTAATTTATAGAAACAATGCCATCCCCATCAAGCTACCAATAAATTTCTTCACAGAATTGGAAAAAACTACTTTAAAGTTCATATGGAGCCAAAAAAGAGCCCGCACTGCCAAGACAATCCTAAGCAGAAAGAAAAAAGCTGGAGGCATCACACTACCTGACTTCAAACTATACTACAAGGCTACAGTAACCAAAACAGCATGGTACTGGTACCAAAACAGAGATATAGACCAATGGAACAGAACAGAGCCCTCAGAAATAACATGACACATCTACAACCATCTGATCTTTGACAAACCTGACAAAAACAGGAAATGGGGAAAGGGTTCCCTAGTTAATAAATGGTGCTGGGAAAACTGGCTAGTCATATGTAGAAAGCTGAAATTGGATCATTTCCTTACACCTTATACAAAAATTAATTCAAGATGGATTAAAGACTTAAATGTTAAAGACTTAAATGTAGACCTAAAACCATAAAAACCCTAGAAGCAAACCTAGGCAATACCATTCAGGACATAGGCATGGGCAAGGACTTCATGACTAAAACACCAAAAGCAATGGCAACAAAAGCCAAAATAGTCAAATGGGATCTAATTAAACTAAAGAGCTTCTGCACAGCAAAAGAAACTACCATCAGAGTGGACAGGCAACCTATAGAATGGAAGAAAATTTCTGCAATCTACCCATCTGACAAATGGCTAATATCCAGAATCTACAAAGAACTTAAACAAATTTACAGGAAAAAAATCAAACAACCCCATCAAAAAGTGGGCAAAGGATATGAACAGACACTTTCCAAAAGAAGACATTTATAGACATTTATGCAGCCAACAGACACATGAAAAAATGCTCATCATCACTGGCCATCAGAGAAATGCAAATCAAAACCACAATGAGATACCATCTCACACCAGTTAGAATGGCGATCATTAAAAAGTCAGGAAACAACAGGTGCTGGAGAGGATGTGGAGGAACAGGAACATTTTTACACTGTTGGTGGGACTGTAAACTAGTTCAACCATTGTGGAAGACAGTGTGGCAATTCCTCAGGGATCTAGAACTAGAAATACCATTTGACCCAGCAATTCCATTACTGGGTATATATCCAAAGGATTATAAATCATGCTACTATAAAGACACATGCATACGTATGTTTACTGCAGCACTATTCACAATAGCAAAGAATTAGAACCAACCCAAATGTCCATCAATGACTGACTGGATTAAGAAAATGTGGCACATATACACCACGGAGTAGTATGCAGCCATAAAAAAGGATGAGCTTCACGTCCTTTGTAGGGACATAGATGAAGCTGGAAACCATCATTCTGAGCAAACTATCGCAAGGACAGAAAACCAAACACCGCATGTTCTCACTCACAGGTGGCAACTGAACAACGAGAACACTTGGACACAGGGCGGGGAACATCACACACCGGGGCCTGTCCTGGGGTGGGGGGTTGGGAGAGGGATAACATTAGGAGAAATACCTAATGTAAATGACGAGTTAATGGGTGCAGCAAACCAACACGGCACATGTATACATATGTAACGAATCTGTAAGTTGTGCATATGTACCCTATTACTTAAAGTGTAATAAAAAAGATTAACATACATATTACAGAATAATCAATTATCTGAATAAAACACTGTTTCATATTACCAGCATGTCAGGACAAGAGCTTAGCAGCAAGAAAGGAGGAAAACAGCAGTAGTAAGAGGAAAAGAAGAAAAAAACAATTTGGGAATAGTTAGCTTCTATGAGATGTGGCTTTCTTACTGTCAATTCCAAATGCTATATATATAAGCCAAACTGTTGCAATCAAGATAGTAAAAAACAGCAACAATAACAACAACAATAAAAAAGAGTAAAAAAATTACAGCTTGGTTCACTTTTCCCTCACTTTCTTTTGGCTTATTTTTTACATTAATTCCCAATCGTAGGCGGTAACCTCAAAAGGAGAAGTTAAATATTTGTCTCAAAAGGACTCTGAGTACCTCAAGTATAAAACTTCGCATTCCATAACAAATCATATCCCTCAAAGTTAAATAATACTGATCAATTTAGCCAGGCGTGGCGGCTCACACCTGTAATTCCAGAGGCCGAGACAGATGGATCACCCGAGGTCAGGAGTTTGAGACCAGACTGGCCAACAAGGTAAAACCCCATCTCTACTACAAATACAAAAATCAGCTGGGCGTGGGGGCGGGCATCTATAATCCCAGCTGCTCCGCAGGCTGAGGCAGGAGAATCGCTTGAACCCAGGAGGCAGAGGTTGCAGTGAGCTGAGATGGCACCACTGCACTCCAGCCTGGGCGACAAGAGTGAGACTCCGTCTCAAAAAAAAAAAAAAAAAAAAATACTGAGCAATGTAAGCTTGAAGGTATTTGCAATCTGAGTTTATTTTAGTCAAAGCAATGATGTAGTACAACAATAACAAAGTCTAATCTCTGCAGAGTATTTTCCGTTTGGGGAAAAATCACAGGAAAAATATGCAGTATAAGAGAAAAGGAAAATTTTAAATATTCTTTGGGCATTCTAATAGAGAGGGCAAACAAAAATCCAACTGAAAATACTTTCGTTAACAGAAAAATTAAGTATACAAAAATTTTAAAAACATTTTTCACTGTGACACTATCATCTTTGAACCAAAAAAGGAATCACTACTGATTACTAATATCCTCAATATAATGTGAACCAATCAAGGAAATTAATCACTTAGGTACTAGGCACAGCCATTCTCTTGGAGACTTTAATCCTAACAGGCAAATTACTTAGGAATTATTTATTTCCATTTTAGTTGATAGAAAAAAACAATACCTTTATTTCTGGTCACTGTTCATCCTTTCTCTCATAAAAGAAGAGGAGGGGCCTGGGCAATAGAGGCTATCAAAGCTTTATTGGCCAATTATCCCCCAATCAAAAAAGAATGAGACAAAAGGAAACAAGGACAGCATAGCTATTATATTCAGCAGATAATTCTTCATGTTGACATGCTATTAATAGTATCATAAGAGGTGACAAGATCCATCGGCTAAAAGAACCACTGGCTAAATATTAATCGGGATACATAAAACATTTTTTTTTAAGAAATGGCATATTTGAAGAAATCATATGGCTAGACAAAACAAACTAGATAGATTGTGAAGCTAGATAGACTAAACCTCAGTCTTGATTACTAATTACAAGCTGAATGTATAAATCTTTTCCTTCAGAGGCATAAAGGTAAGAGTTATGAATCAAATGGAAGGACCAAAATGCTTCCCAATGAAGTATTTTCTTGGTGAAGTTATTGCAATCTAAGGTCTGAAAATCAGCTGTACAGGAACTTTATCAGTAACCTAAAAGATGATCAATCAGCCTCAGTGACTAACGACACTGAGAAGAGACCAACGTAAAAACTAGCACACCAGATTAATTTACCACAAAGATATTCTCACCATAATCAGAAAACCTGCCCTCTATTCAGAGTATTCACTCTTTTTTGGTATGAGTACTAATCTGGCTGGGTTGAATTAGTGCTTAGTTGAATACAGAATTAAAATAATGTGAAGTAGGTCATCTTGTGGGATATATCATGCAGGCCATAAAGAGACCCAATAAACACTTCTGTACCATAGGAGAGGATACACGTCTGGTGACTGTACTGCTCACTTCCCAGATTCACCATCTTCCTTAATTCAAAATGTATCTTTTTCTTTTTTCTATGGCTCATTGCTTTTTCTTTAGAAGTGTTATCACAAGCTATATCAACCTGCTGTTCCCATCAGCTTGCAATGTTAAGCATCCTTCTACTGTGCCCTGCCTAACTATGAGAAGATAAATTCATTTCTCTATTTTCAGCTTCTTAAACAGTCCTTCTGGCATCCCTATGTACCAGCTATAATTTTAATAGAAACTATAAAAACTAGGGGGATTTTTTTGTAGTTTTTGTAGGTACAAAAATTTGATTTTCAATATAAATATTACAAAATTCTAAATGAACACAACTCAATACTACAGAAAATTGTAAATCTACCGTGGTTCAAAGCAAGTTGCTAAAACTTATGGCTAGCTCATGAAGAATGTAGGTTGTCTTATATACTTACACAACTATTATAAAAGGAGTCTACATCTGCATAATGCTTTATAAGTTACAAAGTACTTTCCCATCCATTTTAACATCTAATTGTCATAAGCACCAAGTATTTAAATTGAAAGTCTCCAGGAAAGATACTAATGAAAGAGTGTAAAGGAAATAATCCACAACTTAAACTTTTTTTTTAAGAGATGGGTTCTCGCTGTGTTACCCAGACTGGCCTCTACCCTCTACCTGGGGGTTCAAGCCAAGTGATCCTCCCACCTCAGCCTCCCAAGTAGCTGGGACTACAGGAGCACACCACAATGCTTGACCTGAAATTTTAACTTTTAAAGCCATTAAGGTTCTTACTGACAATTTACAGTTGATTTATTAATACACATATATTTTTGCTCTGAAATTAGCAAATATGTTAAGACTATTTGCACATCAGACATGAATTCCTTTCATAAAATACGCCACGAATTCTTAAGGTTCCTACTGACAATTTACAGTTAATTTATTCATACATATATATTTTTGCTCTGAAATTAGAAAATATCTTAAGACTATTTGCACATCAGACATGAATTCCTCCTTTCATAAAATATGCCATGAATTCTTAAGACTGTATATTTTAAAAATAATATTTACATGGGCCTTGAGAAATAAATTGTTCTAAACTAAATGATAATCGCAGTTAGAAAATTATGCAAAATTATAAAACTGATTAGCCTTGGTACACCCAGCGATTCCTTTCTATATCTCTTGTACCAACCAAATACTTCTTCAGGTAGTTGGTATACATATGCACAGTGGTACCTTAAAATTTGGTCTACATAAAAATATACAGTATTAGTCATCTACATCTTAGTGTGAATAAATTTAACTGAATAAATCCACTCTAGGATTTTAAGCCTAATCCCCAACTATGAAATAAGACAAAAATCACACTGTAATGGAATCCAGGTATTAAACCTGGTGACCAGCATTTTATGGAGTCCAGGAAATGATATCACATAAGTACCTGATTATGTAATGTATAAGGTCAGTTCTTATCAAATGAACTGTATCCCCCTGAAGTCCATTAGGTACGGTAAGCCAAAAAATGATTATAGAGCACTACAATAATAGTTTACATCACAAAGTATCTTTTTCTGTGGCTTAGAAATCTTTTCTAAATGAAAACACAACATGAATATAAACATCAATATTTGAAATAGAAAATCAAAGCATTCTTACCTTACTACATCATCAATATTGTTCCTGTATACGCCTTCAAGTCTTTCTGCAGGAAATCCCATAGCAATAATGTTTGGATAAATATCTGAGTACTTTAGTTAAGGAAAGAAATATCTGAAATATGCAGCAATCAAACTAAAAGAATACTTTTTAAAACATTAGCTAGTTATGAAAAGAAAGTTTTCCCCACTATAGCTGGAGTAATAAAAGGTGGTCAATGTATTTATGTATAACCATTTATGTGTTAATACTGGTAAAGATAAAAGGTAACTTCCACATGGACAGTATTCAGGTATATGAGAAAAACAGAAACTCACGGTTTATACATCACAGAACTAAAGTACTTTATGTCAAAAACCAAAAATCAAAACAAAACCCCAAAATTGACACCTGCCTGAAAAGACAAGAGTTCAACTTCTAATTTTTCATGGCTAAAAAAGGCAACACGTTACAGAAAAAAGAAGACACAGTGAAAATCTGGAAGTCAGATTTAAGAGCTGGCTATGTCTCTAACTAGTTGTGTAATTTGGACAAGTCACTTAACCTTTCTAGACCGCAATTTCCTATTCTACATGATAATTAGACTCAAAGAGATTACTACTAAGGTTTCTTCCAGCCCTTGCTATCTATGACTTGATAATACTGAACTGAGGCAGAAACTTCATTTATTATTACTTTCAATCAAACTACAGTTGGCCAATGAACAAAACCGGTTTGAGCTGTGTCGGACCACTTGTATGTGGACCTTCTTCTACCTCTGCCACCCATGAGACAGCAAGTCTGACCTTTCCTCTCTCTCCTACTCCTCGGCCTACTCAAAGTGAAGGCAGTGAGGATGAAGACCTTTATGAGGATCCACTTCCACTTAATGAATAGTAAGTATATTTTCTCTTCTTTATGATTTTAATATTTTTCCTGCAGCTTACTTTATTATACAAATATGCTATCTGACACATATATAAAATATGTATTAACGAACATTATGTCATCAGTAAGACTTCTAGTCAAGTATAGGCTAAATATTAAGTTTTGGGGAGTCAAAAGTTACATGTGAATTTTCAACTGCACAGGGGTAGGCGCCCCTACCCTCTGTGTTGTTCAAGGGTCAACTGTCATGGATATTTAGCATGCCCATTATAGTGAATTATGTTACAGACTATAGCTAGCATAAAAACAAAACTCTACACACAAGAACCATTTATAAACTATAAAAATCATCAACACTCTACGCTTTTATGATTCTTACCCACTCATCATACCAGCTCTCATTTTTTGAGGTACCTCAATCTAATCTCATGATTTTCTGACAGACCTTTCACACCAGCCCAGTCAATCTGCCTAACGCCTCATTTCAAGACCAACTCCAATAATCTCTGCCCACTCACTTCTGGACTCATTTATCTTCCAAATAAAATTCAAAGTTGACCTAATCCAATGCCCTTTTTCTAGGTCTTTTTCTTTCTGCAGCTTTCACATGATTGAGTTGATTTCAGTAGTATTTTCAATCCAAAAATAATTATCAAGTTACTGAAAGCTATTATTTTAATAGCATAGTTTAAGAAAAGGTTATATGTATATGTTCTATCTATAAGATAACTATGTGCTAACTGGAGAGATCTACTGAATATTTTAAGGAAAAAAACCCACCCAATAGAGTATACTGGGTATATCTTTCGTATAGGGATGACAAAAAGAATGTTAACCCATATATTTGCTTGAATGTCAACATCCTCAATAAACATATGCATGCATGAGTGATAAACAAGAAACTAATAAAAATGGCTGCTTCACAGAGAAAGGGAAGAAAAGGGGAAAAGCATAGCAAGAACAGGTAGCAGCAGGACTCCTGTGTATATCTTTATATATTTTTGATCTTAGAATAATATAAAGAAAAAAAAGACTTATAATCTAATAAATTGAACACTGCTAGAAACAAAACTGATTAAATGTCAAATTGGCACCCAGGAGAAAGAGAAAGGTTTTGTTACAAGGGCTATTTGGACACTGCACTTTTACTGCACTTCTTGGTAGGAAGTATTCTAAGAACAAAAAAACACTAGGAAGAAACTTTAAACTTCTTTTGGTAGTTTTACTGATTCTAGTAATATCATTATTGATATCCTCAAACTATTTTCTTTTTTTTTTTTTTTTAAATAGAGACCAGGTCTCATGATGTGGCACAGGCTGGTCTCAAACTCCTGGGCTCAAGCCATCCTCCCACCTTGACCTCCCAAAGTGCCAGGATGACATGCATGAGCCACTACATCCAGCCTCCTCAAACTATTTTATCTTTTTTTTCCCCCTGAAACAGGGTCTCACTTTGTCACCCAGGCTGGAGTGTGGTGGCATGATCATGGCTCACTAGAGCCTTGACCTCCTGGGCTCAGGTGATCCTCCCACCTCAGCCTCCTGAGTAGCTGGGAATACAAGCACATGCCACCATGCCCAGCTAATTTTTTGTAAAGACAAGGTTTCATCATGTTGCCCAGGTTGGTCTTGAACTCCTGAGCTCAAGCAATCCACCTGCCTCAATCTCCCAAAGTGCTGGGATTACAGTGTGAGCCACCGCACCAGGACTATTTTCTTTATGTTGTAGAAATAAGCAAAGAAGTTATGCTAATGACTTTAAGGTTCATAATTTTAAGTTAAGAAAGCAGATAATATTGTAAAATCAAGAAATCATGTAAAAAACTAAAAATATCAGTATGAATTCATGTTTGTAAAAATCTGTTTTCTAGGTCTTTTCTCTGAAATGGCCTAAAAGCAACATCACTCTAGCAGTAATAAACATTCCTAGAACACAGATTTTCATCTCTAATATCATAATAAACTAAAAGGTACCAAACTCCTTGGAAAAAGACTTAATGCCAGGTCTGGAGTAGGGAAGGTACAGGTGAGCCTAGGATACCTTTTCATTCCAAGAGAAGGAGGAAGGCTTATAGAGATTAATGGCCTATATCAAATGGACATAGGAGGTGGTATAAAGGTCCAAATGACTAGCTGTGATAATCTGAGCATCAAAGAAAACATTTAAATGGTACTAACACCCTGAATTAAATAAAAGTCCTTGAGTCTATAAAGACACTCAAAAGAAAAAAGTTAAGGCCGGATATTGTTGGTCACGTCTGTAATCCTAGCACTTTGGGAGGCTGAGATGGGTGGATTCCTTCAGCCCAGGAGTTTGAGGCTAGGCTGGGCAATATGGCAAAACCCCATCTCTACAAAAAATACAAAAAAATTGGCTGGCCATGGTGGTGTACACCTTTAGTCCCAGGCTGAGGTGGGAGAATCATCTGAGCCCAGGGAGACTGAGGCTTCGGTGTACCATGATTGCACCACAGCACACCAGCCTGGGCAACAGAGTAAGACCCCATCTCAAAAAAAAAAAAAAAGTTGAAACAACTAAAAATACCCTTTTTATTTATCATCTTTTGAGGTGGTTAACGGAATAGTTCTTCACTTTGAAAAATGGTAAAGAGTGAG
This sequence comes from Homo sapiens, assembly GCF_000001405.40. Lineage (NCBI taxonomy): Eukaryota > Metazoa > Chordata > Mammalia > Primates > Hominidae > Homo > Homo sapiens. Next base: position 106,449 of record NW_013171807.1, on the reverse strand, counting down.
ATTTAAGTATTTATTTTGTCTTTCCTATAGAGACTGTATTTAAAGACAAACAAATAGTCCCATTTCACAAGTTCTACCTTATCAAAAAACATCAATTAATAATGTAAAACAATAGAATTTAAAGTCTTATTTTGCAAACCCTGATGAAATTACTGATATACTCAAAGATCAACAAATGGTGTTAAACCAATAGGTGAGTGGTTGATGAGAAAATGAACTTTCTTACAGCACCAAAATACTACTACCCAAAATACTTTCTAATGTAAAGAGACGAATATAATTGAACAATGGGCAGAAAAGACTGTCACTGTCCAATTTCAGTGGCCATCTCCTCATCATGAATCAAGTAAAGATCATGTAACTTCTGACATGCAATATAAAGGACACAGCATCATCTATGATGGTTAAGGATCTTCAACTCAAATCCACCAAGGATTCAGATACAAATTTTAATTTGCAGGAAATACATAGGATAAAACAAGCTAAATGACACTATGAGACAGCAAACTGGACAAATTCAGACAGTTTGTAGGACATGACCCATTCTCTCTTCAACAAGCCAGTATCTTTAAGAAAAAAAAAAGGTGGGGGGGTGGTGGGAGGTGGGGGAAGCGGGAGGATGGGTTGCTGCCCTTGATTTTTAAAGATACAAGATTCCTAACAGCCAATTTCATAGGTGCAATGCTGGCCTGGATACTGTTTTAGCCAAACCAGCCATAAAGGACATTTTTGAGCTAATTGGAAACATTTTAATGTGATCCGGGCATTACACAAGATGAAAAGTTACTGAGATGGAAAAGTAGATGTAAATGACTAAAAAAGGCAGGTTTCAAAACAGAATGTACAATGTAATACCATTTGGATAAAAAGAATACGTATATATCCATATAGACATATATAGACAAAAGATTATAAAGTACTAAAAGTCATATATAGGTGGTGGCATGTATATTTTTTCTCATATTTGCTTGTTTTGTATCTTCTATTTTTGCCACAATGTACCTGTATCGTTTCTGTAACAAATTGCTTAAAATTAGATGTTTTATAATTATCTATTTACTAATTGCCATGACAAAATGCTGTCTTGCCCTGTATGTAGAAAAAGCTCTGTATGCATTTTTTAATGCCAAATTTCTACCAAAAAATTATACTAATAAAAGCATCTAAGATTTAAATTACTATGCCCCAAGAACATTTTTTGTCACTTTAGGAACATACAAATTCACCCTCAGCCTCAAAGGGTTTTTATTATAAAGATTCTAAAAGAAAACTATTAGGATTATCATTTTAACATCACAAATATTTGCTGTCATCTACTACTCTCACATAAGAAAGCTGCCCCAACTCTTAGCCAATCTGACATTTTTTTTAAAAACTGAGAAAAATAAATTTAAAAAATTAGAAGAAAGTAGCCTCACTTAAAAATGTAGCTGTTGTTCAATTATCAAAATGTATTGGGATATTATATCCATTCATTTTAAAAAAAAAAGCAGAAGACAGCAGAGGCCTAAAGTGAAATAATCTTAACTGAGTAATCTTAACTCCACCTTAGAAGACAAATGTAAGAAAATGGAAGACGTCAGAAAAAATGAGGCACCAGAAGCAATGGCAGGGAACCCAAAGTGGTTATAGCTACCAATACTCTGGAATTCCTACTCAAAATTATAAATATATTTTGGCCAAAAAATATAAATTCAAATCATCTATGTTTTTTGAACAACGCAACTAAGAATATTTTATTAAAAGAAATAATTATTAGCACTAACAACCTTACCTAACCTAAACCATTAATTTCAGTGAGAATAGTATTAAGATTTTTATCCTTACAGATATGCACAGAAGTACAAAGCCCCTCCCTTGAAATGTGGTCATTCTAACCAGGGCTAAACTTGAATTTATCCTTGCACTATAAATACTAATTAATAATTAGTATTTAATGCCAGCCTGGGGGAACTTCAGGCTGATGTCTATTTTCTGCTGCTATACAATACCACAGACGGGGTAATTTATAAAGAAAAGAAGTTTATTTCACTCACAGTTCTAGAAGCTGAGAAGTCTAAGATCAAGGGGCTGCATGTGGTGAGAGTCTTCTGGATGCATCATAACATGGTAGAAGGCATCACATGGCAAAAGAGGGCATGAGCACATGATAGAGAAAAAGGGGGCCAAACTCCAGAGATAACTAACCCACACCTGCAATAATGGCATTAATCCATTAATGAAGGCAAAGCCCTTATAATGTAACCACTTCTGAAAGGTTCCACCTCATAATAATGCCACATGGCAATGAAGTTTCAACATGAGTTTTGAAGGAAACAACCAAACCATAGCATTCTGCCCCTGGGCCTCAAAACTCATGTCCTTCTCACCTACAAAATACATTCGTTTCATCCCAATAGACCCTGGGAAGCCCCACCTCCATGGCTTTGCTGTACTTAGCCCATGCAGCTTTCACAGGTTAGGGTCTCAAGCCTGAAGTTCTCCCAGGCTGGCACTGTATACTTGTAGCTCTACAGTTCTGAAGCTTTGGTGGTGGGCCTGCTGCCATGGCTCCATTATGCAATGCCCTAGTAGGGACTCTCTGTAGTGACTCCAACCCACATTTCCACCCTTCAGAGGCTCCAAGCCTGTGGCAAGTCTCTCCCAGACTATCCCCATCATCCTTTGAAATCCTGGTGGTGGTAGCCATGTCTCCCACAGCTCTTTCATCCTGTGAGCCTGCAGAATTAGCACCATATAGACGCTGCCAAGGTTTACCATTTGAGTACTCAGCAGTAGCCTAAGCCACACCTGGGCCCCTCTGAACCAGACCTAGGACAGCCAAGGCCCACTGGGTTGAAATATGGGGAGCTGAGGTAGCCCTGGGCAGCAAGCTTGTGAAGGACCACCTGAGCCACAAACCATTCTGCCCTCCTAGAGCTCTGGGCCTGTGATGGGGCAGGCAGCCTCAAAGATCTCCAAAATGCCTCTGGGGTCTTTTTCCACTGTCTTGATAAATAGCCCTTGGGTCTCCTCTAGGAATATTAATCTCTTCAGCAAATGGTTCCTGGACCACACCCTTGGTTTGCTCTCCTAAACATACCTTTTGCATTCTTTACTATGGCCAGGCTGCAAATTTTCCAAGTATTTCCATTCTGCCTCTCTTTTAATTATAAATTCTGTCTTCAAGTCATTCCCTTCCCCCAGCTTAGTTTAAGTGGTTAAAAGTAGCCATCCAGTAACCTAAATGCTCTGCTGCTGAGTTATTTCTTCTGCAGCATATCCTAGTTCATCACTCTTAAATTCTGCATTCCATAAAGTCTTAGGATATGAACATAATTTCGCCAAGTTCTTTGCAACTATTTAACAAGGATGGCCTTTACTCCAGTGTCCAGTATCTTGTTCTTCATTTCTGAGATATCATCAGAAAGACCTTTACCACTTATAGTTCTACCAACTGATGACAACTCTCTAAGAAGTTCCAGATTTTCCCTACAGCTCTCTTCTTCTGAATCCTCATCAGAATTGTCCTTAATGCTCTATTCTCAGCAATACAGGCTTTTTCTAGCCTGTTCATCCAAACTCTTCCATCCTTCTCTAGCCAGAACCCAAGCCATTTGAACATTTTCAGGTATTTGTTATGGCAACAATCACACTCTTGGTACCAGTTTTCTTAGTAAATTTTATGTTGCTTTACTAGAATACCACAAAACAGGTAGTTTAGAATGAACAGAAATGTATTTGGCTCACGGTTCTGGAGACTGGGAAGTCCAAGAGCATGGCATCAGCATCTGGCAAGGATCTTTGTGTTGAGTTACCACATGGCAGAAGGTAAGGAAGCATGTGAGACGGAGGAGGCCAAACTCCCAAGATAACTCATCCACTACCATTCAAACAGCATTAATCCATTCATAAGGATAGAGATACCATTATCTAATCACCTCTTAAAGGTTCCATCTCTTAATACCATTACAATGGCAATTAAATTTCAACATGAGTTTTGTAAGAGACATTCAAAGCATAGCAGCAAACGTTGCAAAGGATTTAACTCATTTCAGACAAGTCTATAACTATACATAAATGGGTGTTACATAATCATTAAAGTAAATTCAGCTGGCCCCCTCCTTCATTCACATAATCATTCAAACATATATTGAACGTTTTGCACAAGGGGCACTGAGAATATAAGGCTAAGTAAGCAAAGACTACTGTCCTCAAGGCTTTCCTATTCTATTAGGGAAGACAGACACACAGACCTATAATTGTGCCAAAGACCCGATTAGATAAAAAATAAGATAGCTTAAGAGTTAAAGAGGGAAGGATTAATTCTGTGGGGACACAGATAAACCTTCACCAAGTAGGTAATATATTAGATAATCCTTAAGAGTTAAGTCAGAAACCAGTAAACAGAGGAAGAAACAAGAGCAGTTAGAACATTCCAAGCAAAGGCTAAAGTAGACATATGGAAATACATAAAATAATCAGCAAAAAGCAAACAGTCCAGTGAAGCTTACACACAAAGCAACATGGAGAAGGCAGGACTGACAAAGTAAGGTCCAGCTTTAAGGATGCCACGGCAGCGAATTCAATTTAATCAGACAGATAAGGAGTCAAAGACCAGGATCAACATGGAAGACTTTGCAGAGCAGCAAGTCTTGTTCGTGAGCTATTTACTCCTTTAAATGGAGTCCAGGAATTCAATCTTTTTAAGGTTTCATTTTCTTCAGATTCTCACCTTCCTTACTGATAAAGTTTGAGATGTTACCCAAGACATCGGCATCCATCCTAAGTTAGAAAGATGTAGACAACTAGTACCTGTTAAGTATCATGTACCAGACAGTATGCCAAATATATTCTCATTTAATCCTAACAATCCTAAATAGTATTACATTTCATAGACAAAGAAATTGAGAGTCAAAAAGACTGGGTAATTTGCCCAAGTTAGTAACTAGTAAGTTATAATTTGAACCCAGATTATATACGAAGCTCCAAAGCCCAAGCTTTTGACACCATACTGCCCAACGAGAGGAAATTAAGGTTTTTCTATTTCCAAATAAAAATATAAAACTTTCAAAGGAAACAGGTTCAAATAAGTGATTTACTAACCTGTAATTACATTTACTAATAAAATGTAAAAATTGAAAAAATTCCAAGACAGTATGAAAATTTACTGACATTTCCAAAAGTAATGCCAGCAACTACCTAAACAAGCACCAAATCTTGAGGCAAATATTTCTTATGCCACAAATTACACAAATAAACAAAATCTTTCTAATATACATTTATACTTCTCCATATATTATAAAATTTGACATTTTAGAAAAACTAAACAACATAAGAACTGAGGAATATATATACATATAATGATTTCTGATAGAAAACAGCCTTAACCTACACTTACCTGATATTCTTCTGAATAAGTTGAGTGTTTAATACGAAATTTACATATAATGACATAAGTATTAAGCATAAAGATTTATAACAACCAGGTAACCAGAGGAAGATGAGTATTTCTGACATCTAGAGATCTACTTGCAGGCACTACGGCATAATGGTTAATAACATACACTCTAGAACCAACTTGCTAGAATTGGAACCCCAGCTTAACTTATTGTGCAACCTTAGGCAAAATACATACTCTTTCTGTTGCTTCCTAAGCAGAATGGGGCTAATAAAGGTACCTATCATATAAGGTTGCTATGAGGATTAAATGAGCTAATATATGAACAATGCTTAAAACATAGTGATAGCTGTCTCTCAACTGAACAAATGGTAATGCCTTATCCCATAAGACCCCACTGTAACTACTTTTCTTTCAACGACAGTGACTTGTGGAATAATCTAAACTTTCTAAAGAACATCAAAGCTTAACAAAAAGTTTTACTCTTTGAAATCCTTAATGTATCAATTTGCCTTTTAAGTATTTACTTTATTATAACTTAAGAACATATCTAAAATACAATCCCAAAAGAAAAAAACAGTGTCTCTGTTTTAGATTTGGGAACACTAAATTTTCAGTATGTGTTTGCTTATTTGTATTTTCTAATATTTCTATGATGATTACAAATTACTCATGTGATTTTAAAAATGCCATATGCTAGCACAGGTATGTATCCCTTATGATGAATGTCATCTTTTTATTTTATCAAATATGAATTTATAGTTAGCTATTATTCTTGGGTTAATAAACTAACATTTATTTTTAAAATAGAGCTTATGACTTTTACTATTTTAAAAGTAAACATGGCCAATATAGGAAATGAGAGAGATAAATATAAAAGATACTAATACAAATCTAGTGTTCAATGGTAATATCTATTAAACTTCTTAGATTTCTATTTCTTTATAACTAATTTTTGATGGAAATAAAAATGTTGGTTACATAGTGATTACTGTATTATAAATACAATATATCCCATTACATTTTTCAAAAATTTATTATATTTTCCTGATACGAAACTTGGGAATACAATTTTAAATGACAATATAACATTATATTGATGGGTGTACCATGGTTAATGAACCATTTTACTACTATTGGACATTTAACTAGTTCACAATTTTTAGGTATTATGACTAACATTGCAACAAACACCTCTATGTTTATGTCTTTTTAATGTTAGTGGTCATTTATTTAGGAATCAGGCTACCTGTGTTCAAATCCCAGTTCTAATACTTTGGCCATGGGCAAGTCACTTAGCCTCTCTAAACATCACTTTCCCCATCTTTAAATGGGAATAATTCTAGTATGAACTACATAGGGTTGTTGTGTTGAGGATTAAATGAGTCCAAAGTATATAAGGCACATAATAAGCACTCAATATATACTAGCGATAAAATATCTCCTGAATTATTAAAAAGTTCTTTTTCTCATAATATCAGTGATTACTGTATATACAATAAGAAAGGTAAAAGAAATGCATACATGGTACTAGCTATCTTGCCTAAGTTGGATGGTCACCCCAGCTCCAACAGATCTCAGATATATTAGACAGTTTCCCCCCACCTTTGTGTAAACATGCTAAATTTGTTTTAATTGAGGTATAATTCAAATAAAACAAAATACACAGATCTTAAGTGATTAGTTTGTTTTGACTGGTAAACTGCATATGCCATGTTTGGACAGTCTTGATTTAGGTGTTACAAGAATCCTTTCTCACCAAAGAACAAATACCGTCCCAAAGAAAAAATGTAATTAATAGCAATTAAGTTCTAAAGTCTGTCCACAAAAATCAATTTAATCCATAATATAACTAAACTATATTTGAAATAATGTGGCTGTTTTACCAGCTAAGTAAATTTTTATTGCCTGTTCTAGGCATACAATCATGACTTGAAACACTAGAAATATGTTCCAAGTTACATCTAAATAACAAAATATCTTTTCTTGAACAACTTCCGAGTTGACATCCAAATAATGTATCTACCTTATCTCAAATCTGTACTTGCATCTAAATTAATAGGGTATATGCTAGAAATTTAACTACAATTTTCAAGTAGGATATAGTAACTAAAAATAGCTCCCTAAACCTTATTTCATAAGACTGTGTTCCTGACATGTACACTAAATCTTATTTTAACTATGATGGTTTGCTAAAAATAAAGCCATTGTAAAAGTTTCTTTGTAGTGCTTAATATATAGGTATGCTTATCCTTAAACAACTTATAAAGTAAAATGCAATAACTACTTTTCTGCCATAGAATAATTATTTCCACAGATCACAGATATTTTTTAAATTATAGCTAAGTAAAAGTTGCAGTAACAATATGAAACTATAACATATACATGAAACATTAATGATAAAATGAAAGTGATAATACAGCTTTAGAGGTAATGAACAAAGAGCATCAAAAGCAAAGTCTGAAGCTGCCTGGCTCATAAAACACTGAGCTAAACCAGTAGCCAGGGTGAAAGAATTAATGAAGTCAGACTAAGAAGAAAAGATAACAGGAATGGAAGGCAAGTTAGCAGATACCAGGACTTTATCATTTAATTTTATTTCGTAGGAACTTCTGGAGCTTTTTCCCTGATTTCCATCAGTGCTTTCAAGTAACACACAGTTAGGGTTCTTGTGAGCAAAAAAGAAACTCAACCACTGATTCATAAGTTACATCACATTTACATTTCTTTTCAAAATTTTAAGTTTAAACAAGTATTTTCCAATTATGTCACAGTTAAATCCTTATTATCAACTTTTCTAATGAAATCATGCTTTAAATACAAATCTGATGAACTTCTATGACTTTCTCATTTAATCAAAGATTTTACATTTGTTACTAGGTTTTTTTTTCCTATTAATAAGCTATGTTGAATTGTTAATGATGGACTCTCATTTCTAAATTGAAGATTCATATTGAGCAGAAAGCAGAAAGAGCAGTTCCTTGAATTTTCCAGTTGAAAAAGTGCCAACTGTTCATTATTTAAGAACAATTTGTCCTAAAGAGCTTCTGCACAGCAAAAGAAACTACCATGAGAGTGAACAGGCAACCTAGAGAATGGGAGAAAACTTTTACAATCTACCCATCTGACAAAGGGCTAATATCCAGAATCTACAAAGAACTTAAACAAACTTCCAAGAAAAAATCAAACAACCCCATCAAAAAGTGGGCGAAGGATATGAACAGACACTACTCAAAAGAATACATTTATGCAGCGAACAGACACATGAAAAAATGCTCATCATCACTGGCCATCAGAGAAATGCAAATCAAAACCACAATGAGATACCATCTCACACCAGTTAGAATAGTGATCATTAAAAAGTCAGGAAACAACAGGTGCTGGAGAGGATGTGGAGAAACAGGAACACTTTTACACTGTTGGTGGGACTGTAAACTAGTTCAAGTCAGTGTGGCAATTCCTCAGTGATCTAGAACTAGAAATACCATTTGACCCAGCAATCCCATTACTGGGTATATACCCAAAGGAGTATAAATCATGCTGCTATAAAGACACATGCACATGTATGTTTACTGCAGCACTATTCACAATAGCAAAGACTTGGAACCAACCCAAATGTCCATCAATGATAGACTGGATTAAGAAAATGTGACACATAGACACCATGGAATACTATGCAGCCATAAAAAAGGATGAGCTTCATGTCCTTGGTAGGGACATGGATGAAGCTAGAAACCATCATTCTGAGCAAACTATCGCAAGGACAGAAAACCAAACACCGCGTGTTCTCACTCATAGGTGGGAACTGAACAATGAGAACACTTGGACACAGGGTGGGGAACATCACACACCAGGGCCTGTCATGGGGTATGGGGAGGGGGGAGGGATAGCATTAGGAGATATACCTAATGTAAGTGATGAGTTAATGGGTGCAGCACACTAACATGGCACATGTATACATATGTAACAAATCTGTATGTTGTGCACATGTACCCTAGAGCTTAAGGTATATAAAAAAAGAGCAATTTGTCCCAATATGTAAAACATATAATCATTCCTGTACAGATCAAATTAATGCAGCCTGAAATCTTATTTTCTAAAGAGAAAAAGGTACATAGGTACAAAGTTTGAACTATAAATATTAAGAGTGCTCAAAAAATGGCGTTTTAAGAATAAAGAAGGAATAGTCAGGAATAACACAGGAACATTTAAATATTTACTAGGTACCAAATCCTGTGCTAAGTACTTAATGAATATTGTCATTTAATATAGAAGAACAAGGTTCTACTTCCAGCTATGCAATCTAAAGCCTATAACCTCAGGTAAATCACTCAATCTCTGGGCCACATATATTTTTGTTTTGTTCTTCTGTAAAATAATGATAATACCACTTGCTGTAACTTCTTCATTAATTGTTTCAAGGACCAAATGGGATACATGAAAATATCTATAAAATTGCAAAGGACTCTATAATTGTAAATAAGGGGTTGTTATTAGATGGTGCATGAATTCTGTTATTTAAATTTAGTTTAAATGTCTCATTACAAGGCAACTCAATATGGTGTTTTTATAAATAAATTGTAAAAGAAGGAATTCTGGTATATTAATTAACTTAAATTGACTTTAGTATAAATTTTAGGTTCCTTCTAACACTTTCTAGTTAATCTGCTGTCAGTGCCAAACCAGAAAGGAAGACTGCCTATCTATAAACTCTACTGAAGTTTTCTACTTCTCCAAACAACCTGACCTCACAACTTTCATGTTTTTATATTATATGAATTTGTCATGAGTAAGAAATTTGCACATACTTTTTGCTTTGAAACAGAAGTTTAGATATCTTCCTAAATGCAATCATCACACTCTTCAAAAGTAACATCAAGACTTGCTAGTAATTCTTCTCCTTGTTAGCAATACTACAAACTCGTTCATTTGGCAACAAATCTGCAACTTGTAAAAAAAAAAAAAAAACTAAAATACTGTACACTCTTTAATCCTGTAATCCCACTCTAGCAATATATTCTAATAAACCAAAAGTAAACTATATAAACATATTCACAACTATAGTTTATAAAAGAAAAAAAAAACGAAAATAACCCTAACACAGTATAGCAAACAAACCATGGTAGTTACCCTCACCTGATGAAATATTACCTCTATAGCTTTAAAAATAAGTACCTGGCGACAAATAAAAAGTGTATTTGTGAAAAAAACAGACCAGAGAACAGTATGAAAACATTGATTACAACTTTGTAATAATGTGCATATAACAAACAGGGAAACATAATTTCCAGTGACACAACATCTAAAATAGAACTAACTTTTTTCCCAGTTGAACTCATTAAACTTAAGAACCATTTTTAAAGCTATCCAAACCAGATACAGGAAAATTACACACAGTTTTACAAAATTTAATCTTTAAGGGAACAATCAAGGTGATCTGAACCCCAATTATTTAAAGTTAAGCAAATTAGAACCTCAGGAAGATATCAAGTCACTGATAATGTTAACAATACTCTAAAATCCATAGTATAATTTAGTATATTAGCTGAGAGTGTACTAGACTTCTCAACTATTTTAATCAATTTTTCTTCATAGCAGGTGTTAATTATGAAATAATCTATCGCCAGACACGGTGGCTCACGCCTGTAATCCCAGCACTTTGGGAGGCCGAGGTGGGTAGATTGCCTGAGCTCAGGAGTTCGAGACCAGCCTGGGGAACACGGTGAAACCCCGTCTCTACTAAAATACAAAAAATTAGCCGGGCATGGCAGCATGCGCCTGTAATCCCAGCTACTCAGGAGGCTGAGACAGGAGAAACGCCTGAACCTGGGAGGCAGAGGTTGCAGTAAGCCAAGATCGCGCCACCGCACTCCAGCCTGGATGACAGAGAGAGACTCTATCTCAAAAAAAAAAGAAAAAAGAAAGAAAAAAAAAGAAATCATCTATTACAACTGCTCAAGCCTACATCTGTGATCCTCTAAAAATTTAAGTTGCCCAACCAACTGGTTTTAACGAGTATACCAAACAATTACCTTCTTCCTAGGTCTCTGGATGAATATGATAAGACTGGTTTCCTGTTTCAGAACTCTCCTGCTGTTAAAATACACACACACACACACACATATACACACACAGACACACATTCCTCTACAGTTTTGCTCTCGCTAAAAACATCTAAGACCGATCACTAATGACGAATGAAACAAAATAGATATAACTTACCTATCAGCTTTCAAAAATATTATTAGTTCAATGACGTGTCAGATATACTTGTCAACAGCATTATACTTGAACTAAGCCAAATGCCAACTGTTAATTTTCTACAGCAAAATCACAAAAAAAGCATATGAAAAACTGTAAAAAGTTAAAACTGTAATGCTGACCCAGCATTATCATAAATTTCCTAAGTGTCTTTAATACACTTAGATTTATAAGTTAACTTCTGTAATATCATTCTGCTTACAAAAGCTATGCTTTTATCATTTATTTTGCCAGAGGTGATTAACCTAAAACAGGTTTTGGCTACTCTATAATTATGCAGAAAGACATAAGGCCACTAATTTTTACAGCAAAAAAGATATTCAAACAGGTAAAGTGCAGAAGATGTTAAGGGATATCAGCATCTTGAAAAACAAAGATCTAGTAATATTTAGTGCATATTCTCTCAACATTAGCTGCATTTTGAAAAAATAGGGTTCCAGAATTTCCATACGCAGTAATTATGCAGACCTAACCATCAACTAATTCACCAATATTTGAAACCTACTATAGGTAAGGTACTCAGAAAACAAAGTTCTAATACAAATGCGTCTCCGTCTCCGGCAAGGAGGTTTTCTTTTTCCAATAAGCCAACTGCAAAACTTTTATAGTTGCTAATAACAATCAAAATTTACCTGTAATCCCAGCACTTTGGGAGGCCGAGGCAGGCAGATCACGAGGTCAGGAGATCGAGACCATCCTGGCTAACACGGTGAAACCCCGTCTCTACTAAAAATACAAAAAATTAGCCGGGCGCCACCGTGGTAGGCGCCTGTAGTCCCAGCTACTCGGGAGGCTGAGGCAGGAGAATGGCATGAACCTGGGAGGCAGAGCTTGCAGTAAGCCGAAATCGTGCCAGTGCACTCCAGCCTGGGTGACAGAGCTAGACTCCGTCTCAAAAAAAAAAAAAAATTTACCTTTCAACGTCCTCTTAATCTGAATATTTAAAAGAGAAAAGTTCCAAACAAGTGTGTGCTAGATTGCATCATTTTATATTTGGCTTTAATGTAATAAAATCAAGTCTCTTTATTCTATACTACAAGCCAGGAAAATTGGTTGGAAATGACTTACTTTTTTTCCAACTGGTAAAAATAGCTTTGCCTAAGTGCTGCAGAATTTTAGTCGAAGAAAAACATAAACTAGAAATGCATGTGAATTTTTAAATATGAAAGCCAACATATTGTCTGTCATTCATTACTATATTAGTAAGAATCATAGGAGATTGTTCTAATAATACAAATATCTAACAATATTAAATGATTCCTATTCCCACTGAAGGTTAACTATTATATCAACTTTATAATCATACTTGACAATTCATTCTTAAGTAGTGCATAATCAAAATATCTAAAATAACATACACCAAAATACTAGTCAAAATCATATTTTAAATTTTAGTAATATGCAATTTTAAAATATATTAACAGAGTCAACAGTAAGTCTGCATTGCTTGGTTTGAATAGATAACACCCTTAGTTTTAATAAACTACTATAAATGCTTGTTATTGAAGGGATACCATTTTATTATGAAACCAGTTATTGTAATAGGGGAAAAAGTACAATTACTAATTATGATTAGCTGTAGAATTTTCATATTTAAAGGACATATAAAAAAACAGAAAATATTTAGGCTGAAACTTCAAAGAAAAAACTAATTAAGTTAACCATTTCAACAAGTAAATAAGCTTTTAAAACATACAAGTTTAATACCTGGGAAGATAAGAGTACCAACAGTTAGATGGGAGGGATAGGAATAAAAACAAGGGACAGAAACACATAACACCTCTCACACCCTTTAAATACTATTAAGTAAACAGAATAGGTAACGACTTTTAAACTTTTAATATTCAGGTAAAAATCTCACCTACATATGTGCCTCACTTAATGTAAGAGATATAATTTATGTATATATGTCTATTCAGAAAGGCCCAAAAGGTATTTTTTTCATAGCCTCCAATTCAGTTCTCACCAAAGTCTACAAACTGAGTCTAGTAAACCAATCTACTTTCCTCACAGATTAATCTGAAAATTGGCAAGATGTTTCTCGTAAAAAAAAAAAAAAAAAAAAGGCCACAGACACAAAGTTGCATTTGAAAATGTAAATTCAAAATCATATCTAAACTTAAAATATTATTATGTTAATCATTTGGCATAACAAATTTCTCAAGAAAATGTCAACATACTAAATGAAACAAGGTAGATTAAATCAATCAGATTCTATAATATTAAGCCAAATACACAATTTTAAAGATTTACACAATTTGGTAAGACCAAATTCTTGTGAGTGAAAATTAAAGAAACAACTTCTATAGTGGCCTAAAATGCAACAGCAAAATTTTAAATGGGGAAGCTCATTTGCATACAGACAAGAATTAAGTTGTAGAAGATGAAGAAAAGAACTTGAAAAATATTTAAACAAATTTTTAAGAAATTCTTATTAAATCAGTTCCCTGATTGAGTCCTGTAATACTAAATTCTTATATATCTCAACCAGTTAGGAAAACTAGTTTAAAATATCAAAATCTTGTATAACTTAATTTCTCAAGTTAAAACATGATGTCCAGTTAACTATCCAAACAATCGAGGGAAAAAAAAAACCAAATGACTGAAGGCCAGGCGTTTATTACACAATCTTTAGTTCTCAGCCAGTATCTGTATTGTAATAGAAAAATATAAATAACAGTATAACTATTAGGTTTCATTTTTGCAAACGTTTAAAATTTGATATTAGTCTTTATAAAAATCATAATTAGATTATTCCAAAAACAGTGGTGTCAAAACCACTTATATCACTAAATTATCTTAACTTTTTCATACATTTGAGTAACAGATGGTAGGCCTTAGTTCTTGGACACTACACAATAATCACAATCTGTGTGACCTTTTCAGTATTAAAAAAAATCCAAATAGTATTATTAAGCAGCACGTTAGCATATTTTATAGTATTATATATAATCACAACCACAATCTAGATATGTAAAACTATGTCATACTTTCAGTATACTAAGCTATTTTATATAGATTTCCTACAGCTAGTCCATGAAAGATACTCAGATGTAAGAGTGTTTCTTAGGTTGTCAAAAAGCATAAATGCATACACTCACAAACAAAATATTTTTGCCATCCCTGTTTTCATTAGCACCCCACAAGAAGGTATATACCACACCTAGATCAAAATTTCCTTAAGTTTAACAGTCGCAACAATTTTACCTCATTTGGGAAAATGTTACTCTAACAAGTAATCTGGCTTTTAATTAAAAAGAGACTAATTTGTTTCTACCTCAATATTTTAAATATTTTTTGTTCTAACTATATGAATAAATGAATACCACCTCATGATAAAAAATTATAATTTAATAAAGTTAAGGTTATTTGTTTTAGTATCTGACACTTAAAAATTAAATCTGATAAAACATATGCAAAATTTTTAAGCACAAATACTAGTACTGATTTAAAACGCAAATAAATAGCAAATTGATCAATTAATATCACAATGATTACCTGGGCAACTGTGCAAATATAAACCGTATCATTCAAAATATGCTTCAGGGAACAGTAACATCATTATAAGCCCATACTCCTTCTGATTAAAAAAACAGAAAGCAATAGTGTTATTACCACTTTACTATAAAAATGATGTGGCAGTTTATTCTAATTACCTTCTATATCCACTTTAATTTCAACACAATGTAATGTTCTTACAACAGGAAAAGGAAATGATAGATCTAAAGTATTCAGCTAAATTTTACTTTGTCTCACTTAAATAAGTAAAATATGCTTTCAGTATTAAATACAAGTAGAGTTACTATATGTAATTCGGGGGAAAAATCTTCAAGGCTCTAACACTTCAGTTAGGTTTGTATAACATTATGATTTCATGAATCAAAACCATGAAAATCCTCTCTAATGTTTAGGTTATCTTAAATCCACTTAAAAAATCACAAAATAAAAAAATGGAAACAAGCTTAATAAATGTATAAGTATAGGAAAATAAATATTTCTGATGATTTCACCATTTAATTAAGGCAACGACAAAGTGCAATGGAAATTGTTTTTTAAAAAGAACACCCTCTTAAGTTCACCATGAACTAGGTTTTAAAGTATATGCATATGAACAAAACTGGAAGCTAATATGAAAACATTAAGTTTTAGAGAAGTAGGACAGTGGGTGATTTTTAAAATTCTCTTTAGTCATGTTTTTAATAAAAGAAATTTTCTTAAGTACAATAAGCACATAGTTTTCATTCATATACTGAAATAAACATCATAAGCCTTATTCAACTGAATTGTAACAATGAGTCCTATTTGTCTTAAATAATTGGTATCTCAAAATATCCCATATTTCAAAAGGAATTAACAGTCAAATCTTAAATTTCTTAAGAATTTAAAAAAAAATAAGGCCTTGACATTTTATTCTGCATTCAAAAGTGAGAGGCAAAGCAAACTGTAAAATCATGCAAACAGAAAAAAAATCACAGCAATCTATTCCTAGAACCCTTTTGTAATTACATTTGCCTGCCCTAAAAACAAAACAAAACCAAAAAATTCAGAATCCACTAAAGCTACCTTCTTGGCATCTTCCCATCTCTGGGCTAACCTAAAACTCCATTCCGATTTTGTTTCTTTTTTTCTAAAACTTCACTTTAATACAAGTTTCTAATTTAGATAAATAAAGCACTTTAATTCAACAGGCTGGCATAGCAAATTTAGGGCCTAGAAAAGAATGCAACACATGGATCAAAGAACCTTAGAGTCAGCCCTATTTTCTTTACTTAGAAATATTTAAGTTTGTATAGCTCGTTGGAAATTTGCAATTTTACATTGTACATTTAACTTCATCATATCTGACTATAATAAAAGCAGCTTTAGAATAAAAAAGCATAAGGTCAAAGAATACATTAAATAACAAAATAGTAAGAGAAAAGTAACTCCCAACAGTTCAACAACTACATAATTAAAGGAAAAAGGATTACTTTAAAAACTACTAGCAAAATTAAAAAAAAAATTAAACATCCTTCTGAATACTACGTACAGTATTAAAAACACTTACGGAAAACATCTTCAACCTTTTCTAACAGAAGTTCAAAGCAACACTTTCACAATCAGCCAAAGAACACATGAGTCCTCTTCAAATAAACCTTTTTTGTTATTAGGGATATCTTCTGTGGACAAAGTTCTTATTATCATATAAAGAATACTGGCCTAGCAGCAGTCAGAACACCCAGATGTTAGGACTAACTCCATCACTGATTTAGTAAGTTGACCTTCTTAAATATCACACCTGGGGGCAAAGGTACTGATTTTCATCAAATATTATACTTATTATATACCAGACATTTTACACAGCATTTTGGGCTAGATAATTCTTTGTTGATGGGGAGGGGTCTTGTGCCATATAGGATGTTAAGCAGCATCACTGGCTTCAAGCCCCTAGCCAATAGCACACTCTACCACCCCAGCTGTGACCACCAAAATGTCTCCAGAAAATGCTAAAAGTCCTAGAGGAGGTGAAAGGGGATCACTCTCAGATGGCAACCAATACTCTGAAAAAAACCTCACCTGTACTTTTAACAAAACTAAAAAACCACTGTACAAGTTTAGGATTTTTACTCCCATTTTGGAGTTGTCGAAACAGGGTTCACTAAGGTTAGGCAGTGTATCTACGTAACTGATAAGTGGCTGAGCGGGGATGTATTTATTTATTTATTTTTGAGAGAGGGTCTCACTCTGTCACCCAGGCAGGAGTACAGTGTCCCAATCACAGCTCAATGCAGCCTCAAAGTCCCAGTCTCAGGTGATCCCACCTCAGCCTCCTCAGTAGCTGGGACTACCAATGCGCACTATAACACCCGACTAATTTTTGTATTTTTTTTTGTAGAGACAGGGTCTGCCTATGTTGCCCAGACTGGTCTCGAACTTCCAGACTCAAGCAATCTGCCAACGCTGGCCTCCCAAAGCACTGGGATTACAGGCATGAGCCACCACGCCCAGCCTTGAGCAGAGATTTAATCTGGACTTTAGGTCTAGCCAACTCCAAATCTATGCTCCATTCCACCATACTGCCTTTCTAAACTCACTATCTCGTCTATAAAATCAGGATAACATTTTCCATGCAAAGTTACTTAGAGTTTACAGGTCAAATGAAATAATGCATGTATAAATTCTAATAACCTAAAGGAGTATAACATGTTAAGGGTTTGCTTGGTGGGAGATAATGTTCATTGGTGGTCCTCAAAGTGTGATCCCCAGAGCACCAGCATCAGCATCACTTGAAAACTTCTAAGAAATAAAAATTCTCAGGTCCCAATCCAGACCTACTGAATCAGAAACTCTGAGGGTGGAGTAAGCAATCCATAGCTTAATAAGCCCTTCAGGTTGTTCTAACACACTGAAGTTTAAGAACCACTCATGTAACATAATGGGAAAAATACTGCACCAAGTGCCAAAAAAGTCCTGCATCCTTCTTCAGACTCAGTCTTTCACTAGCCATTAACAAGATACTGATTCCACTGGAGCTACAATTCCTAAGCTGCAAAAAATAAATAAATAAATAAATAAATAAAATAAAAAAGAAAGAAAAATAAAAGTAATGCCTGTTCTGTCTGCCTCTTAGGTTACCTGTTCTTCTTTGCAAAATCAAATGAGCTAATGATTTAAAAAGTGTATTGTTAATCAAAAACTACATAAGACAGAGTATATATTAGCTAATTCAGTATCTTTCATAAATGATTCTTTCAAGGTATACAATAAATTTTACAACATGGTCAAATTAAGCCTAGCAAAACACTGTTTTTACCTTATAAAAATGAATAAAATAAATTTTAAAAAATCCCAGGCATTCCATTTTATCGCTGACAATCAGTGTAAAATAATTTATAATACACACTAAAAAAAAAACCTAAAAAATCAAGCTTAATGACATCCCCAAAATTTCATTTTAAAAGTACAGTTTTCAATTCTATCTAATTTCATCTCCAATCAGTTTAGAGTAACCAGAATACTCAAAAAGAAGTCTCACAAAGAGAGGGAATTTTAAATGGAAAAGAATCCTGCATTTTGAAATAAGCAAAAAGTTTGTAACTTTAAACATGTATACGATATTTATGAATCACTCTAAAAATACATCTATTCATGCCAGCAATGGTGGGTTAAATTTTTAAACGCATCTAATTAAAAGAGTATCTGAGGCCGGGCGCAGTGGCTCATGCCTGTAATCTCAGCACTTTAGCAGGCTGAGACAGGCAGATTACCTGAGGTCAAGAGTTCGAGGCCAGCCTGACCAACATGGAGAAACCCCCCATCTCTACTGAAAAAAAAAATATAAAATTAGCCGGGCGTGGTGGCGCATGCCTGTAATTCCAGCTACTTGGGAGGCTGCGGCAAGAGAATTGCTTGAACCCAGGAGGCGGAGGCTGTGGTGAGCCGAGATCACACCATTGCACTCCAGCCTGGGCAACAACAGCAAAACTCCATCTCCAAAGAGTATCTAATTCAAATCACAATGCATTTCATAATACCTTAAATAATTACATCCTCTTCAAAAGATCAAAAGTATTAAACAAATAAAATTCACAGAATACAATCTTTGCAATTACTAGTAAAGAACAGAGAACCTTATTGTACTTCAGCCTGAAAATCTACAAAAATCAAAGGAAATAAAAGTCAAAGCTATGCTTAAGTGCTCTAATATTAAATCAACAGTAAGTCTTAGGTAGTGATCTAAAGCAAAAACTAGGTGCAAGGAGAGAGATTGATTTAGAAAACTCAGCTGTGCTCAGATGCCAAAATGCACAATTCAATTCTACAACCTAGACATGGACCAAAAATACAGCTAGTTTACAAAACACATAAAATGCATAAAAATCACATAATCAGAAAGTCACATAGTAT
This sequence comes from Homo sapiens, assembly GCF_000001405.40. NCBI lineage: Eukaryota > Metazoa > Chordata > Mammalia > Primates > Hominidae > Homo > Homo sapiens. The sequence continues at coordinate 86,921 of NW_013171807.1, read as the reverse complement.
CAGACAGAGTGTATTCACTCTGCAATATAAAACACACACACAAAAAATCCACTCACTAGAAGTCAAGTGCTTCACTACTAAGAGTGCTGTGGTACATCTGGGAAATCAGTACAGCCCAAGGGGGGGAAAAATAATAATCCCTATGTACACATAATGGCCTTTACTGGACAGATAAGCTTATTCCATCTTTCCCCATATTCAATTAAAAAAATGAAGAAAAAAATCCTTTAGTTCTTTACTTCTTTCTTCCCACGTCTTGGGCCTAAATCATATTGAGAATCCTGGCCAAATGTGGAAATAGGACTCAATAATACAGAGACTGAATACTTTAAAAGTTCCCATATTATGTTAATGCATTACAGATTATATTAAGTGTCCATTTTATTGTAATAAATGTAACTTGACATTCAGTTGCAAGACTCCCTCAAAAGGCTGAAATTTTCAAAAGGAAATGCTAAAAAATATACCTCTATTGACCAAAGTTTACATAACTCATATTAAGTTTATTACATTTGAGGCAGAGTTTACTTTATGTGAATAAAAATGTATGATAGTTAAGTTGACCTATCTTCAACACTAAAGAAAATTTAAGATTATAACAAAGTTTAAAAATTCTACTTCATTATGCTAATAGGAAGTTTTTGCCTTTTATATTTTAAAGCAAATAGTTTTTGATTGGCATAATTAATTTTACTTTGGTCAACAGTTTGAGTTAGCAGAGATTTATTTCCCATTTGTGATGAACCAGCAAAATCACAGACATGTCATACCCAGACTTCCTAAAGGAATACCCTTATTTTTAAAAACACTTATAACTTGAAACAAAATCCTAACATGGCCCAAACTGAGGAAATTCAGTTACAATCATACACCATAAATGAAAATACAAATAATTTCCCTACATACATAACCTGAAATTACAGTTTTTCAGAGCAGTAGCTACCATTTAAGTATTTACAATGTGGCAGGTACTATGCTAAATGAAATTACTTATTATTATCTCACTTACTATTCAAGATAAACGTATGCGGTAGGTTCCATTATCATCCCCATTTTACAGATAAAATAGATTGAGAAAATCTAAATAACCTACTCAAAGTCATCCAGCTACTAAATGGAAGATCCAGGATTACAAAACAAGCAGTCTGGCTCCAGAGCCCACACTGCCTCCCTAAAATCTAAAATGAAACAATGTATATATGCTTAAAAGTATAGATAAACGTAATACTCAAAATTTTAACATAATTTAAAATAGATCTGACCATATTTAAAAACTATAGAACAATATTCTCTAAGGTAGTCTTTTCTTTAAAGAAACAAAAATTCGTTTTTTAATAAATATTAAGATAAAAGGTTTGCTAACTTTGTATACACATACACACACAGAGAAATCAAACACTGGTTAGATTCACTGTTCATATTTGAAGTGGTGAGTACTGATAATAATTATGTGTATAATTACTTAAAATATAATGTGTAAACAGTCTTCTTTTTCACACTATGTGGAGGTCAAGAAAATTCTTTTGATGGCAGGTACAGCTACAATATCCATCTCTCAATATTCTCAACACTGGCCAGGCGCAGTGGCTCACGCCTGTAATCCCAGCATTTTGGGAGGCCGAGGCAGGCGGATCACTTGAGGTCTGGAGTTTGAGACCAGCCTGGCCAAGGTGGTAAAACCCCATCTCTACTAAAAGTACAAAAACTATCTGGGCGTGGTGGCATGCACCTATAATCCCAGCTGCTTGGGAGGTTCAGGCAGGAGAATCGCCTGAACCTGGGAGGCAGAGGTTCCAGTGAGCCGAGATCCTGCCACTGCACCCCAGACTGGGCGATAGAGCGAGATTCCATCTCAAAAAAAAAAAAAAAAAAAAAAAAAATTCTCAACACTGCCAAAAAGTAATGCCTTGAAGATGTCCTAATACCTTGAAGATGTTCACACATGTCCCAATGTCAACTGTTGCAAATGAAGAATCTGCCTTAACTATACAGAACTAAAACTTCCCAAATAAAATTAATTCACCCTTAAATTATGTTACTCTTCTTATATTTGCCGATACTTATTTATTCCAGTGCAAATTATTTTAAAAGAATTAAATTGCTAATACTTCCTCTGCAACCAATGAAAAAAATTCAAAAAACTAAGGGAAAGGTGAATAGTCAAGTACAATATACTAATTTCACCTTTCTTGGCAAATTATTTTACATTAGTGAATGCATATACTCAATATGTACAAAGAGAATCACCAAACACAGACCAATATACTTTTAACCACCTATGGAAGAACGTATATGTGGCAGTAATGCACCCTATAAAAGACTTACAGTTATCAGTTTGCTCAGCAAAGCCTTACCAATTTAAGGTTAGTCTAACCTCAACATTATTCTCTCTGATAAGCAACTAAATTAATTTCAAAGCTACCAAATAGAAAGCAATTGTAAAACAGAACTGACTGACCCCAGTCTCACAAATTTCCTAAGTCACTATCTTCAGAACAAATCCTAACATCTTTTCTTAATGAATTCAGGCCACAAGATGAATTCTTCAATGCTGACTGTGAAAATCAAGTTTAACAGAAAAAATGAAGAAAAAGGTAACAAGATTAAGAACTAATGGGTTCCATGTAATAAAACTTCTGAACTGTTTGTTTAACCCAACGGTTTCTACAGAAAAAAAAAAATACATTTCTTAAGCTATGTTAATATTACATTTTCTGGAAGCTAAATCCTTGTAGTATGGCAGAGGCCTCACATTTCAATTAAGCAGAAAATTGTCATATGCATGCAACACTTCTACAATTCTCTTTACAAACTCTGAAGTCACACACAATATCAATAATAAAAGTGATTTCCTAAGCTTTCGTCTTACTTAAAAGATTGAGATGAAAATTTAAAAATAGCACGTTTACTTCAAGTGAATTAATGTTAAAACTTTGTGAAGTGAATTTCCCATAACAAATACTCCTCCATTAAAAGTCACTGAAGTGATTACTTCAGAAGCGGCTTAAAATATTTTTTTAAGTGTTGCGCTATCACCAAATGAACAAACAGCAAATGGAGGCAAATTTCAAAATAACATTAGAAAATAAGAATTGAAGACTTCTTCACTTCCAAAAAGTAAGCCATTTCATAACACTAAGAAGTTTATGTATTTTATGTGGCTATGAGAAAGCAGATGCACTGTTCCATACAAAAATTAAAATATCACCAGTTGCCTTTCCCATGTTATTAAAAATAAAATTCTAAAAAGGTAATAAAGGAATCTTTCTTTACTATCTTCTAAAACTAAGTTTAAAATGAAGGTGGTTATACCTCACCATATTTTATTATCTTTAATCATTTAGTATTTACTTAGTATATTATAAGCAATGTAAATCTGCATTGATGACTATACTGCTGTGCAAACTTTTACACTGGCAGCAATAAAATTCCTTTTTCCTCATATAAACTGTACATTACTCCTTTCAGTTGTGCTTTACACTTGAATAAGCACTATGAAAAATGAAGTTTGTAAGTTATCATACAGCAATTAGGTGGTCCAGTCATGTTTTTCAGGAAATATAACTTAGCAGATACAAAACAATGTAAAATAAATGTTGTGAATAGAATACTTTTTAAAACCCTCATGATTAATTTCAGTAATCACTTACCTTGAGGTAATTTAGGTAACTTCAATAGTCACTGTACTCTCTACAAGTTAAAAGTATTCCCTGTGAACATTTATTTGAAAAGAGGCAAATCTACCAAACAATAAAAATACAACAGAAGCCTAACGTTTCCACATACCCTAAATACACTTAATTTTTCTATAGTCTCAAATTCAGCACTATATTTCAGACTAATATTAAGCATATAACCCTACTAACAAATTTTTAGAATAATTTAATTTTGCGATAATATTTTAAAACTGAATTATTGTCCTCAATTTTCCTCGGAGAAATGGCTTCATTATTAATCTTTCTTTATCAGATAAAAATACTCCAATCACTACTTTCATAAAGGAATTTAACTTTTCACAGGTTAGTTACTGAAATAAATACTACAACATGTCAAAGACAAAGTCTTCAATGACAATTTTAATGCCTTCCCACTCCAATAAACAGAAAACATTAACGTGAAAACAAGCAAACCAAGTACGTTGGAATATCAAAATTATTGGGAGTGCAATTATCAAAAAAGCAAGCACTTCACTGACTTTCCTTACTGACTTTTTTTCATATCAACTTTTGGCTCAATAAAACCACAACTCTAGAAATTAAGTGTTATTAGTCATTTGACGCAATATTTGATACTGCTTTCTATGCATATCATAACTAAAAGTACAGTTTTAGAGAAAGTTTTAAGTCACACAAATTTCATGTGTAGAGACCAACATACGCTGAAATCAAAGAAAATGCCAGTCATGTCACAGCTCACATGTAAAAACCTGGTAAAATAATTTTAAGGTCTTAATAACCCTGATAATTTAAAATCAAGTGGGAAAAGTAAAAGTAGTGTGTTATGTACTTTAAGTGCTGAAAGAAATCTGTCTCCCAGACAGCATTCAATTATTTTCTTCAAAGGCTTTTTTTTCAAAGTTACATAAACATTTAATTTTTTGTTCCTATATATTTGGATGACTGTCAGTAATTCATGCTAATAGTAGACTGCTTTGGAAGTCACAAAAGAATTTTTCCATAATTATCTTCTGGGCAAGCGGGTCCAGTTTAGCCTTAGTAACATTCTCAATTAATGTCAACTTCAAAATTTGCAAATACTCTTTTAAAATAATATTTTTGGCTTAACAGAAAACTAAATTTTGGGAAGCTACTTCTTCAGTAAGTTTTACATTCATTTCAAAACAAAAACTTGGGCAAAATTAACTGTGCACATTTATATGCAGCTAACATAATCCAACGGAATAAAACCTCTCCCGATATAAACGCTGTCTTAAAAAAAAATATTCCCCACAATTTTTAGCAGGACATATAGACACTGTAGTGTCACTCTACCTTTAGACAAAATGCAACTGACATTTGCTAAGAAATAACTTTTATTAAAAATACTGTGCTAGTACTTATGCAATTACATAATTTTAACTAAATATTGTCCACTGCCACAATTCGCATTACCAAACTCATATTACCAAATTTTAGGCCTTGATAGAGCCTAAATGCTTCAGTCACTTCAGACCAATAACTTAATTCTGTTTTCACATACCTTATACACTGGCCTACCAATAGCTCTCAATTCCTGTCAATACTTTCCCCATTCTGCAAAAAGAGGGCCCCATCCCCATCCCTAATCAAAACCAATGTGTTGTACCTGAAACTGCAAAGATTAATGCTTTTCGATGACCACTAACTTTTGAAGCCCGAAGGCCTAACTTTTAGACAACTAAAGCTACACACTGTTAAAATTCTTGGGCTTCTGTCTTATTCAGCAAGCTGACTCAGTAAATTTAATACACTGTATGAAAAAAGCTAACATACCTACAATCTAAAGCTGGAGTAAACCCCTCTTGCCAGCATTTCTAGATATTAGCTGGTAAAATACAACTGACATTCTACACAAATCAGTAAAATTAACGATACCAAAAGGTGTCAGAGGACCTGAAACCTAAAAACGGTGAGCAGCAATTCTGGCATCACAACAATACTTAAATTTCAAGCATGAACTGAAGTTTTATTTCTGCAATCTTCACTTGCTACACACAATACCCTTGAACCTACACATTACCATCTGGGATCAGAAACTACTCAATATCCATTCTATGTTTATGACAAGAGCACTGAACATTAAATGCTACTGAAGTGCAAATTTCAAGCACTATCCTACATCACCCCATAGGGAGAGAAAAAGGTAAATATAACAAAGATCTAGTAAGAACGCCTTATAAGGTATATTATGGCACTATTGACTTCAAACTACAAAACTTCTACATACAGTTCAAAGTTGTAGGTAACTTAAGTTTAAACATTAACAAAACTACTTTTTGCCCTCAATGTGCACCATATATACTGAAAATGATTCTGCTTCTAAAGTTATGCAAATCAGTCATATTTTAAAAGAATCTATCAATGCAACTCAGGAAACTAAAACAATCACTGCAAGATTCTGATGCAATATGCGTACGTGCAACACTAATTTTCATTTTATTCTGATCTAAACCCTTGATCTAGGGCCTAAGCCAAGATTTAATCGAAATATGCTCAACCTCAAAAAGCGTCTACTTTTTTGTTCATTTAGGAGACCGGATTACCGAGCTCGCTAATCCACTAACAGTGTACTGTATTCTGTATTAACGGACAATAGCCCTCAGGAAGAGACCATATAGATAGCCTAAGAAAGCAATCGGTGGCTTGACACTTGCAACCAGGCAAGAGTTCCGTCTAGCCAAACACACCCTAGGTTGAATACACAGAAAGGAAACACAAAATATATGACCTAGCAACCTGACCAGGGTTAAATGTTATAGTCACCCAAACTACGGACATTTTCGCATCCGTCTACTCCCACGTTCTAAGAGAGTGACAGAAAGGTAAAGAGGAGCAGCCGCAGAAATGGATACAGGTCAAGTCTAAGTCGAATCCATCCTCTTGATATCTCCTTTTGTTTCTGCTAACGATCTCTTTGATGATGGCTGTCATGTCTGGGAGCCTGTGGCTGAAGAAAAAGGAGGAGAGAGATGGCAGAAGCTGCTGGTGGCGGGGCTTCTTCTGCAGGATGGAAATGGCTCTGGACTTGGCGGTAGCTGATGCCCCTCGCTCTGCCGCCGCTTGGCTCTGGACCGCAGCCGGGTAATGGCTGCTGCGGCGGCTGCTGGATGGTTGCAGCGACTGGGCCTGCTTCTCCTCAGCAGCCAGAGGCCTGGCAGCGGCGGCAGCGGAATGGGGAGAAGACGAATAATCCTCCGAACGGCTGCCTCCGCCGGCGGCCTCCGGAGCCCGGGCCACGGGGGGTGCGGCGGCGGCGGACGGGAGGTTTAAAACCGGCCCGGGTCCCTGGATGTGCCGCCGCCGCCGCCGCCGTGTTGGAGGCAGTAGAAGGGGAGAGACCAACTCTCCGGCGTTCCCAGCCCTGGAAATGGTGACAGGCGACTCAGACCCCCTCCCTGGAGCTGCAGCCGCCGCGGCCGCCGCCGCCGCCGCTTCTCCCCCCCGCTCCAGGAGCGGGAGGTGCCGCCGCCGCCGCCGCGCCTCAGCCGGCTCCCGCCCGAGCCCACGGCTTCCACCTTCCCTTTCAGGAGAAGCCGAGGAAGAGGCTGCACGGTTAGAAAAGACGAAGAGGAGGCGAGAAACGCCGCCGCTGCCGCCGCCGCAGGCCGGCCGGCTCCCCGAGGGCGCTGCCCCCGCGGCTGCTCACAGGCGCTGAGAGGGGCTCCGGGCCGCGGCCGCCGCCGTCTCTCATCTCCCTCGCCTGAGCCCGGCCTCGCCTCACAGCGGCTCAACTCTCAAACTTCCATCATGGCTGCAGCTTCCGAGAGGAGAGAACTGAGCGCAGTCGCGTCCCAGCGCCGAGCGCGTATCCTGCCGCAGCGCATAAAGAGTCCCGCCACATCACCGCCCGCCGGCCTGCCCGCCCCCTCCGCCGCCGCGCCGGGAGCCCGGGCGCCTCGGAAGACCGAGGGGAGGCGGGAGGCGAGCGAGAGGCGGACGGGACCGCGCCGGGCGAGGGGAGGGCAGGGCAGGGCAGGGGGCGGTAGGAGGGGGCAGAGCGGTAGCTCTGGGTGCGAGCGCAGAGTCCCCAAGCCGCAGGCTCTACTGAGCATGCCCAGTGTAGCTGCCTGGGGCTTGCTCGGGCCGGTTCCCAGCCGCCAGCCTGCAGCTGCACTTGCTGCGGCTTTTGCAGCAACGCGAGGCGAGGATAACGAGCTAAGCCTCGGCCTCTGCCCAGAAACCCAGCCGGAGGCAGGGTAGGCTGTTGTGGGGCGGGGGTGGAGGACTGATGATGAAAGCTGAGATGGGTGCGTTGAGCAGTGTCACTGACTCGAGTCTGAGGTTACCTGTGCACAGGTGAAAAGGACCAGGTGACCACGCTGCTCAGTGTAGAGGGAAATGCAGGGACGGTCCCTGCAAGGGGAATACCCTCCCCCCTTGCCTCTACCCCTAGATTTCCGCGGCGTGGACTGCATTCGCTCTTTCCTTTTGCACCGCTGTCGGATCACAATCGTTCGCAGAGATTTGACTGTAACAGCCTTTGCCTAGAGATTCCCCCTTCCCCCAAATCTGTGTCCTCATGGTGTCAGTCTTAGCACAAAGAGCAACCTGCTATTGTGTCGCCAGCGTGTATCACCTCATCCGGCTCCCTTGCAGCGCCCCACCTCTCGCTTCCCCGGTAACTCGGCTCGTTTGCCCTAAAAATGAAAGCTCTCAGCCGAGCGTGCTGAACGTGAACACATAGCCGTTGAATTTCAAGGGCCCAAAGGGCACCTATCTAAATGAACTGAAAGAGGATCCCTGTGAGTGGGACGCACCCCGCAGGCCTCTCCTGCGCCCGCTCCGGTGCCCCCAAGAGAGTCGAGCATCTTTCCCCTCGGGCTCCAGGTCGGTTCGCGGCGTCGGAGTCAAGCTCGGTTCTCAGAGACCACCTAGCCCCGCCCCCCCTTGGCCGCCGTGAAAACCCGGCAGGATGGATCGCCCGGGGCCAGGCTCCGCGCGCCCCGGCCGGACCGTGCACGTTTGGGGTTACCGGGTTGAGTGGAAAGTACGGAACGGTAGGAAGCTGCAGCCCAGCGAGTGGGCGGGGCGAGGAGACCTAGGAGGGTTCAAAAGGAGGTGGAAGGATACACGGGCCACAGTCGGAACTACTTTCCGAAGGAGGTCACGTGTGTCCCTAGTTGGGGAACTTTCCAAATTCCCACTCCCCAGTGATAGCTCCGGAGGCAAGTCGTCTTCTTCCTTTGCTCGGGGTGCTCTTGCCTGGTGCAGGCAGCGGAACCCCAACCCTTCCTGCGCCGCGGCGGAAACAGGGGCTCGGACCAGCCTCCCGAAGGAGCGCTGTCGGGGCTGGCGCTTGGGGAACTGGTTACACAAGCACCCACATCCAAACACGTGCCCCCGCCTCCCCGCCTGCTGGCTGCCGCCGATTCTTACAGAACGCGGGGAGAGAGTCCCCAAACTGGTGCCACTCCTCGCCTGCTACCCTAAGAGCAAGCCAAAGGACTGAGACCTGAGACTCACTCCTTGCTCTACATCGACCTATTCTGCGCCTTCCCAAACGTGGGAAAAGGAGCTGGGCGCTAGGGCTCTCGGGCCTCTCCATCGCTGATGCCCTGCCGCTTAGGGTGAACCCTTTTGGTTCTGTGCTTGAGGGTATCTCCTGCTGCAGCCCAGAGCGTGCATTCTCCGATGTTGCAACAAACGTCCAGTCACTACCCCTGAGCTGGTGAGCGCGCCCCACCTACTGTGGACTCAGCCAAGTGACTTATCTGGTCTGAGAACCTAGTCAATGGCCGTCAGCCCAGAACAAACCTGTCAAGTCTGTTTACAGCCCCGATTGGGCTGACCTGTCACCGTGAGAGAGCTGATTCGGAAATGCTGAGAGTTGGATCGCACTCCTACCCCGCACCCCACCCGTCAAGGATCTACAAAGCAAGTAGTCGACCCGCTTAAAGAGAATGAGCATCAACACCAGTCTGGGAATTTATTGTTTTTTCATTTCCCTTAGGAAGTAGAACTACAGACGACAATTTGAGTCAAAAAATATCTAACGAGACCTAGGTTGAAGCACTGAGTTGTTTTTCAAACTTTGAGAGAATGAGAATCAATCTGCATGTGTGTTCAATAATTGTAAGTGCCTAGCAAAGTCTAAAGAGGGTTTATGCTGTATTTGAGAAAGAGTACTGTATATGTGCACATCATAGTTGCAGGCAACCTCTGAAGACTAGAAACCTCAAGAGACCTAGCGCAGAAAGCCACAGGCCATTACCTAACTCCGGGACTACTAATTAAACCTGGGATATTTACAGTGTTCTTAGAGACCTCTGAGGCTCCATAAAACTTTGCACTTATATACAGCATTTAAGATAGCTGTGCAGGAGTTAACAACCTGCTGAAGCTTCAGTGTTGATATTTATTGAAGACTGGTTTTGTGCATAGTTCTGGTCAGCTTGGGAAAGGCAAGGACCACAGTGGAAAAGGAAATGGAAAGCAACCGGAAAAGAGTAAGAGAAAGGCCTCCAGTTGATTTCCAGAGATGCAGATACTGTCCACACAGCCTAGCGTGAACTACAGATTTCATTATTGTATAAATAACCAAAGATAAGGAGTTCCTGATGTCTAGGTGTTCTACTAGATTGCATGGTAAAAACCAGAGCTGTGTTTAATTATCAATTACTGCGTGGTAGAAAAAGGGAAAATGAAGATGAACTTTTAAAAGGGGAGTAGATTAGGGAGGGGTAAAATGTCTCACATTTGTTTCTTAGATTGCTGATCTTGTCTCCAGAGTCCCTGTTATTAGCACTGCCCTTCTCTGTCCCTCCCCTGGAGCCTACCCTAAGTGACAATTAGTCTCATAGCATCTGAGAATCTCTGAAATCTGCTTTCATGGAAGCAAATGAAACAAGGGTGCATTCCTGTCCTGGTGCGACAGAATCCTCTTGGATTCCATGGCACAGAGTTACTCTGGAGCAGAGATAATCTGCATCACCAGCACTAAAGTGCTAGAATATGAGACCAGCCTCCAAGTACTTCCATCCGGCTGAAGAAAGAAAATGGGAAATGGGTTTTACTGCTTCTCTAAACATCAGGTCCCTCTACTTCTCTCTAGTGGTGAATGAAAGGATCATCAATGTTGGCAGATATTTGGCCAGCCCAACAGCAACATCAGGTGGTTATTAGGAGTTGGTGAATAAAATCCTCCTTCTGTTCCTAGTGTTAAGTTGTTTCTGAAAGAAATACTGATGCATCCTTTTCCAATTTTTTGTTTTTCTTTTCCTTTCTACCCAAATGGCTGGCCCTATCTAAACTAAAGAAAGTTTCAAAAATAGTACTTTTTTAAAGTTCAGTTGAAAATACCTGCTTGGCTGTATAGATATTACAATACACTGGTCTCCAAGCACTTCAGTTCTTTTTTTTTTTTTCTTTTTTTTTTTTTTTTTTTTGAGACGGAGTCTCACAGGCTGGAGTGCAGTGGCATGATCTCGGTTCACTGCAACCTCTGCCTCCCAGGTTCAAGCAATTCCCCTGCCTCAGCCTCCCGAGTAGCTGGGACTACAGGCGCACACCATCATGCCGGGCTAATTTTTTGTAGTTTAGTAAAGACAGGGTTTCACCATGTTGGTCAGGATGGTCTCGATCTCCTGACCTCGTGATCTGCCCGCCACGGCCTCCCAAAGTGCTGGGATTACAGGCGTGAGCCACCGCGCCCGGCCATACTTAGTTCTTTACCTGTCTGGATTCAGAACCAGAATACCATAGGGAGAAGTAGAAGCTTGTAACAAAGGGACAATTATATAAAGCTTCAGGGTGACTATGTAGATTGATTAGTAAGCATGGTAAACTAGCTTTAATTATCGCTTCTAACAGCTGATTCCAAAACTCTATTGTTACTACACCAAAATAATGTCGAAAGAAAATTTCTTTCTTATTTTCTTTGATAAGCGAAATGACCAGCAACTTGATGTGGATGATATAAATACTTGATGTGCTCTTTGTAGGTCATCTGCTAAGATGTCTTTTGTGTAAACACTCTGATCTCTATAGTGCCTTTCTCATCTCCCATACGCTGACCTTTCAAAAAGGGATCTAACTCAATAGCTTTAATTTTTAAACAATCTTCTGTATTTCTGTCTGTTTAACTACTGTTTTCTAAATAATACAGAATATAAAAACATAATAATCATTGGATTGAATGTAAACCCATTGTTCCAAGGGTCTGAGGTTTTCCCCTTATTTCATTTATCCTAATAACAAACATTATTGTTCTTTCAATAAAGATAATTTTAAGACATTCTCCAAAAGGCGCTACTGTGGGTCATACAAGTAACTATATTCTAAAAGAGAATTTTCCATTATTGTCTACAAGCTTCCCATGTCCCAAATCTCTCCTGAAGCTATTTCAGATGCCATGGTGTCATCTTTCACATCTTGGTAGAGAGATGTGCTGTATGAAATCATCATTCTCAGAGAAATAAGGGTTGAGTTGGTTGCTCCTGAGAACAATAGAGCAGACCAGGTACTCACTGTGTCCAAGTGGCGTTCAGAAATTTTGTCTTGGACCGTGGAGCAATACAAATAAAAAAGACATAACATGACAAGACAGCTTTGACTATGTTAGTCTCCAGGCTAACACTAGCTACCAATTATTCTACTTGGTCCCCTTAATACTAACTCTAGCCATATGGAGCACATTGTTTGCTTTTTAGACCTTCCAATAATAGAAAAAGGTAATTCCCATATACCAGAAAATATTGGGACACCTACCAGGTGCTTCATAGAGTAGGCCGAAATTTTTTTTTTTTTTTTTTTTTTTTTTTTTTTTTGAGACGGAGTCTCCCTCTGTTCCTCAGGCTGGAGTGCAGTGACGTGATCATGGCTCACTGCAACCTCTGCAGAATAGCCCGAATTTGTCTAGGTAGAGGGACATTGAGAAGGAGCCAAAACCCTGCTCTGCCTAACTCCTACAATTTTCCCCTTCAAAACATCCTTCTGGCCTCTAAGGCATCACAAAAAACAGCACCTTTTTCAAAGAGAAAATGCATGGGACAAATAGCCCTGGACCATGAAAAAAGGCAGACTTAGAGCTTATCTGCTTTTTCTTTACTTCTTTTCCCTTATTAAGACTCCACACTCCATTTAAAGAATCTTTTTTGTCCATCCTCTTGAGGGTAGGGGATCTTATCTCAATTCATTTATTTAATGATTCAATCAACAAATATTTGGGAGCCTATTAAGTGGCAATACTGTTCTAAGCTCTATGGACAGAGCAGTGACTACTATGGCATATAGTGTTCACTGTCATGGAATTTAGTCTGCATTGAAAACTTGACTTCTATGGCTGACATTGTTACAACTTCTTCCCAGCCCACAGAGTAAAGGTAAAGCAATAGGAAGATACCCTGACATTTGATAATTGTTTTGTTTTGTTTTTGAGACAGTCTCGCTCTGTTGCCCAGGCTGGAGTGCAGTAGCACAATCTCAGCTCACTGCAACCTCCGCCTCCCGAGGTGTTTAAGCAATTCTCCTGCCTCAGTCTCCCGAGTAGCTGGGATGACAGGCATGCACCACTGTGCCTGGCTAATTTTTTGTTTTTTTAGTAGAGACGGGGTTTCGCCATGTTGGCCAGGCTGGTCTTGAATTCCTGGCCTGAAGGGATCTGCCCACCTCCACCTCCCAAAGTGCTGAGATTACAGGTGTGAGCCACTGCACCTGGCTGGATAATTGTTTTCAATTATCTATTGCTGCATAATAAATTACCTTAAAACTTTCTGTTGTCTTCCTCTTGGGACCCAGGCACTGTGTAAAGAAGCTTGGGCTGGACCACTGAATGATGAGCAACCACAGCAAGAAAGGAGTCCCTAACCATTTTAGCTACTTTAACTGAGGTCCCAGACATGTGGGAAGCCATCTTGGACATTCCAGACCCAGCCAAACTCACAGCAGAATAAAGCACATGTCTGACCTGAACTGATACCATGGGGGCCGCTTAAAACTTAGTGGCTCAAAACAACTACCACCATTTATTTCCTCACAATTCTGCAATTGGGGAAGGGCACAGCTGGACAGGTCGGCTCCCCAATGACATTAGCTAGGGTCAGACGTGCTTTATTCAGCTGTGAATTTGGCTGGGTCTGGAATGTCCAAGATAGCTTACCACATGTCTGGGACCTCAGCTAGAGTAGCTAAAAATGGTTAGGAGCCTCCTTTCTTTGTGTGGTTGCTCATTATTCAGTGGTCCAACCCAGGCTTCTTTATACAGTGCCTGGATCCCAAGAGGAAGACAGCAGAAAATACAGGGTCTCTTAAATCCTGGGTTCAGAAGTCCCAGAATGTCACTTCCACTGCATTCTCTTGGCCAAGCAAGTCACAAGGACAGCCCAGATTCAAAAGGAAGGGAAAGATACTCCTTGATGGAAGTAGCAGCTGGGATGAGAAATTGTTGCCAGTCAATTTGGGAAATAGTCTATCATGATCCATCCTCCAGCTACAACAGTATACATATGCACATACATGCACACACACACACACACGACATGCAGAATACACTCACTCCCTTTCTCCAAAACTATTATTCTATATAGCATCAGTGTTAAACTTCAGGATCTAGTAATCTATACTAGGCCTAGATGTGGATGAGGCATTTCAGATGCAGCTTTTCTTCATCTGGAGACCTGTTAACTAAAAGAGAAGTTACATACACAACATACAATGCTGAAAAAGGGATAGGATAACTGCAGGAGACACGCCTGTTTGAAAATGGCGGAAATGGAAGGCATATAGCAGTCATTAGTCCATAGCAATTCTGAAATCCAGCCAAGCACTGTTACCGGTCCTCTGAGGATCAAGTTCTCCATTAGTGCCTAGGTTGGCCTCCCTCAGAATAGTTTCCCAATGCGTTGTTCTCAAGAGCTCTTAGTTCCACCCTCTGGGGTCTAGACTAGGAACTCTGAATCAATTTTCCTTTTTCATAAGAAACTGCCTTCCTTGAACAGAGGCTTCAGAAATAACACCACACATCTACAACCATCTGATCTTTGACAAACCTGACAAAAACAAGAAATGGGGAAAAGATTCCCTATTTAATAAATGGTGCTGGGAAAACTGGCTAGCCATATGTAGAAAGCTGAAACTGGATCCTTTCCTTACACCTTATACAAAAATTAATTCAATATGGATTAAAGACTTAAATGTTAGACATAAAAACTATAAAAACCCTAGAAGAAAACCTAGGCAATACCATTCAGGACATAGGCATGGGCAAGGACTTCATGACTAAAACACCAAAAGCAATGGCAACAAAAGCCAAAATAGACAAATGGGATCTAATTAAACTAAAGAGCTTCTGCACAGCAAAAGAAACTACCATCAGAGTGAACAGACAACCTACAGAATGGGAGAAAATTTTTACAATCTACCCATCTGACAAAGGGCTAATATCCAGAATCTAAAAAGAACTTAAACAAATTTACAAGAAAAAGTAAAGCAGCCCCATCAAAAAGTGGGCAAAGGATATGAACAGACACTTTCCAAAAGAAGACATTTATAGACATTTATGCAGTGAACAGACACATGAAAAAATGCTCGTCATCGCTGGTCGTCAGAGAAATGCAAATCAAAACCACAATGAGATACCATCTCACACCAGTTAGAATGGTGATAATTAAAAAATCAGGAAACAACAGATGCTGGAGAGGATGTGGAGAATAGCTTTTACACTGTTGGTGGGACTGTAAACTAGTTCAACCATTGTGGAAGACAGTGTGGCGATTCCTCAAGGATCTGGAACTAGAAATACCATTTGACCCAGCAATCCCATTACTGGGTATATACCCAAAGGATTATAAATCATGCTACTATAAAAACACATGCACACGTATGTTTATTGAGGTACTATTCACAATAGCAAAGACTTGGAACCAACATAAAATGTCCATCAATGATAGACTGGATTTAGAAAATGTGGCACGTACACACCATGGAATACTATGCAGCCATAAAAAAGGATGAGCTTCATGTCCTTTGTAGGGACATGGATGAAGTTAGAAACCATCATTCTGAGCAAACTATCACAAGGATAGAAAACCAGACACCACATGTTCTCACTCATAGGTGGGAATTGAATAATGAGAACACTTGGACACACGGCGGGGAATGTCACACACCAGGGCCTGTCGTGGGGGGGATGGGGGAGGGATAGCATTAGGAGAAATACCTAATATAAATAACCAGTTAATGGGTACAGCAAACCAACACAGCACATGTATACATATGTAACAAACCTGCACATTGTGCACATGTACCCTAGAACTTAAAGTATAATAAAAAAACAAAAACAAAAACAAAAAAGTAGGTATAAATATAAGCGCAGAACTGCTTTTGAGCAGCTACGCCGGGCACATCGCTTGTGGGTTAGCCTGCTCTGCAAGGAGCAGTACCTCTGCTGCTGTACACTGCCGCTTCAATAAAAGTTACTAACACCACCAAAAAAAAAAAAGAAAAGAAACTGCCTTCCTTCCTTTTACAGTTAAATAACTCTCTCAGCCTGCTTCCTGCCCGTAGGAAGTTGGGGGCTTGGAAGGTTTTTTCATTTTGAACTGTCTCTTCCTTAGTCCAAGCTGGTGCAATTTTATCCATATAACTCTCTTTAAAATTTTGTGACTCTTATTGGGGTTCACTTCTTGCCCGCAAAGCAACATCTATAATTCTTTCAAAAACAAACCTCTCTGCCTGTAGTCCTAGCACTTTGGGAGGCCAAGGTGGGAGGATTGCTTGAGGCCAGCAGTTTGAGACCAGCCTAGGAAACATAGCGAGACTCTGTCTCTGAAAAAAATTAAAAATTTAAATTAAAAATTTAAAAAACCTCTCTCTACTGTGGACCTGTAGAGGTGACTACTGTGGGACAACACTTAAGATTCTTAGAAGACCTTTTGTCTAGATGAGAGGCAATATCTTAAATATTTTAGAGGTCTTAGCACCAAGTCTCGATAAGATCTTTAACTTGAGGCCAATTCTACAGGCAGGCCCTTGAGGCCATTTCTTACTTTGAGAGTCTTTCTGGCATAAAGAGACTCTGCTTAAAAATGGGATAGTTCCTTTTTTAACACATCTCTGTCTCTTGTGTTATCATCATACATCACTTGTGTATCTTCGTACATCCCTAAAAGAAGCCAATTGTCACTCTGAACATTCAGCCTGAATGTTGCCAAATCCACAAGTTTATTAGGTACACTTTCTGTCTTCTATGTTTTACCATACATCTGACCACAAGGGTTGTCAAACATCTTGCCACTACTAACACCATTTCTCCAACCTTCAATAGCAATTTTCTCACTGCTCTTCCAGCTCTGTTAGAAGTCTTTTCCCCAGACTAAGGAGACATATCAACTAAGAGCAAGTAAGGGAACCTGGATTAAATCTTGGAACAGAAAAAGAACATCACTACAAAAACAAGTGAATTTCATATAAGGTTCGTACCTTGTGCTAATTTCCTGGTTTTGATAATCGTTCTGTGGCTATTAATAAGTTATTGGCCAGGAACAGTGGCTCATGCCTGTAATTCTGACACTTTAGGAGGCTGAAGTGGGAGGATGGCTTGAACCCAGGAGTTCGAGACCAACCTGGGCAACATAGTGAGACCCCGTCTCTTGAAAGCAGGGAATTTTTTTTTTTTTTTTTTTTGAGGCAGAATCTCACTCTGTCAGCCAGGTTGGAGTGCAGTGGTGCAATCTCGGCTCACGGCAACCTTCACCTCCTGGTTCAAGCGATTCTCTTACCTTGGCCTCCCAAGTAGCTGGGATTATGGGCGCATGCCACCACGCACAGCTAATTTTTGTATTTTTAGTAGAGATGGGGTTTTGCCATGTTGGCCAGGCTGGTCTTGAACTCCTAGCCTCACGCAATCCGCCCACCTCGGCCTCCCAAAGTGCTGGGATTATAGGCGTGAGCCACTGTGCCTGGCCAAGACCCCCATCTCTTTATAAAAAAAAAAAGTTATCAATACTAGGGCTGCTGGATAACAAGTATACGTAAACTCCACACCAGGCCAGGCATGGTGGCTCACTCCTGTCATCTTAGCACTTTGGGAGGCCAGGTGGGTAGATTGCTTGAGCTCAGGAGGTTGAGACCAGCCTGGGCAAAATGGAAAAACCATGTCTCTACAAAAAATACAAAAATTAGCTGGGCATGGTGGTGTGTGCCTATAGTCCCAGCTACTTGGGAGGCTGAGGTGGGAAGATCACCTGAGCCCCAGGAGGTCAAAGTTGCAGTGAGCAGTGATCGCACCACTATACTCCAGCCTGGTGACAGTGAAACCCTGTGTCAAAAAAAAAAAAAAAAAAAAAAATCCATACCATTTTTGCAACTTTTTTCTAAGTCTAGAATTTTTTCCAGGCCACACACGATGGCCCACACTTGTAATCCCAGCACTTTGGGAGGCCAAGGCAGGCGGATCACTTGAGGTCAGGGGTTTGAGACCAGACTGGCCAATATGGTGAAACCCCATCTCTAATAAAAATACAAAAATTAGCTGGGAGTGGTGGCGCATGCTTGTAATCCTAGCTATTTGGGAGGGTGGAGCAGGAGAATCGCTTGAACTCGGGAGGTAGAGGTTGCAGTGAGCCGAAATCGCACCACTGCACTCTAGCCTGGGCAACAGAGCGAGACTCTGCCTCAAAAAAAAAATTCTTTTAAAATAAAATATTTAAAAACCAAATTAGCTAGGCATGGTGGCTCATACCTATAATCCCAGCATTTTGGGAGGCTGAGAGGGAAGAATTGCCTGAGGCCAGGACAACATAGCAAGACCCCAGTCTCTACAAAAAAATAATAATTAGCTGGGCATGGTGGCATGTGCCTGTAGTTCTAGCTACTGGGGAAGCTGAAAAAAGATTCAAGGGAGGGGAAACAGACTCCATCTCCTTTTGGTGGGAAGGGTGGCATGCGTGTAGAGGCATGGAGGAATTGTTGGTGGCCATCTTCCACAATGACCCTAGTCCTATCCCCTATAAATAACCCCCCAAAACAGACCATTTTACGTAGTCCTTCTCTCAGGTCAGTTCTGCCTAGAATATCTGTCATTTAAGAATCCTATCAGCTGACAATTTGATTAGCAACTGAATGTTTTCAGTTGTTTTCTATTTTGCTCCTTAATCTTCTAGTTTGTTAATGTGCTTACTCATCTATTTTACAGCATGATTCTACTCTAGGACTAATGTATTTCCCAAAAGATTCATTAAAATTCAATGAAATAAAACAAAAGTGATAATACATATATATATACATGTGTTTGCATAAATACATACAAATTATCTGGAAGAATAAGAGATGAGATAACACATTCTCTCTGAGGGCAGGATAGAGAGGGAAGGCTTCCAAGGGAGATAAATTTCTCTTTTTATTTATTGTTTTTTATATGGTTCAAAGGTTCTTTACAATGATTATTATATTTATAAGGTAGAAAGGTGATTTCATCCATTAGAATTAAAACTAAAAATATATGTCTATTATCAAGAGAATATTAAATAACCAGGAAAGAAGCTCGATTCTAATTGTATTTTAAAATAAATGAGCACCCTAAAGAATTTCCAGAATTTAAGCGTAAGGGTCTGTTTGGTGTTTGCTGGACAATAGAAATACATGGGAATATCTGCCATAAATGGTACATAGTAGAGATGTGTGGTAGACAGGCTGTATCTTATCCTGAATACCCTCTCTTCCCCAGATCAATGGTCTTGACCAGATCTATTTTTTACTCTTTGTACTATTTAATAACTTTTGCTGCTCAAAGAAAATGTCCTCGAAAAATAATCATATGACAGCACAGTACCCCCATCTTCTTCCATTCAAGAGAGTGGCAGACTGCTTTATCATCCAGTGCATAAGAGCTAGAAAAAAACTTCATAGACCCGCTAGTTTACCAATCTCATTTTACAAATGAAGAAACTGAGGCGCAAAGGGTTTACATGCCCCAGATTACACAGCAACTCAGTGAGGGATCCTCAGTTGGAGCCCGGAGAATTCCCTGATATACCCTATCAGTGAATAAAGATGGTAAGAAAGTCTAGCTTGTATAGAAACCTAAATGAGTTAGTTAGAAATTTGACTAGAGATGGTTTTTAATGACATTTTCAAGGCTTGGAAAGGAGTGAACAAAGAAAACAAGGAGATTGCTTAAATAGAGATGATAAATAGGGTTTGGGATGGAGAAAAACAAGGATAAGTGAATGAATGATTCCCGATGTTCACTCTCTAACCTTAAGTGCCTTGAAATTAGCCCATGACGCTAAATACCTTAAGGATCAAACATTAAAACATGAATAGCCACATGTTGCAAATTTGTTTCTCCTCCTTAGTTCCTAAGATTACTGGGAGAGTGTCTTTCAGACAAGAATATAAAGGAGGCAGCCGTTACATGTGGACCGCAGACAGAAAAGGGACTGTGAGGCCCGTGCTCTTTTGAAAGGAAGGAAACACCAAACCCACATGGAGCAAGGAGAACGCTGCCACCTGCTGAAGAGTTGGAGTCAATGAAAATGCTGCCATGCAGTTACAGTCAGCACCTTCATCATGGCTCAAAACCAGTTAGAAAACCTCTTTGCAGTCTGAGGCAGGTCAGTGCTGAGAGAAAGCTTAATTCTAGATTTCATCAGGCCAATGTGTGCTGGAGAAAGGTTAGTTTGTCTCTGGTAAGAGGTGGTAGAGGTCTGCATATCTGCTTCTCTTTCTTGCACAAATATTTATGCTTATTAGCTTTGAATTTTTTCCCAAAAGCTAAATCTCAAAATACTAACATATTCTTGGATGAGTCTAGATAAAAATGATATCAGAAAAGGCAATACAAGGAACTTTATTCAAGTAATGCATGCACTAAGTTAAAAATTCTCCAGGGCTCACCACTATCCTTCCCCAGATAAGTGGCTTCCCCCCGCCCCCACCAGCTTTCCATTTCTTCCTCTTCTATTCATGTACAAATATACACACACACACCAAGGACAACTGCAAGAGAGGGCTGGGAGAAAGTTGCCAATCCTTTGTATAAGGCCTCAGTCTTTCCCTTTTCGTCCATCGTTCCACTCTCCTTTCTCCTGCCCTCTCTTGCCATTCTTTCTTCCAATCCCTATTTTTCTCCTCTTGACCTCTATCTTTCAAGATTCCCCTTATTAATATACAAGAAACTGATATGGCTGAGAGATCCCCTGGGAAGGTGATATATACAGGACTGCCAAGTTACACAACTGCAAGGGCCACAAGTGATATCATATGTGATGCTGTTGTTTTGTACCTTTTGATTTTTCAACCACATAAATGTGTAGTAGCTTTAATTTATATTTAAATCTTTTTGAATCTGACCTTGGTCCCCAATGGTAGACCACTGTTTAATTTCATGGTTACACTAAATAATAAAATAAAGCAGTTCTAGGCCCTGCCCAGTTATAAGTCTCTTATTAAACAATGTTTTAAGATCAATAGAATAAGTTCAAAAAATACTCCTATTGTGATTTAGATTTTTCTCTCTTGTAGGAACTTCAGAAAGAATACCATAGAAAAACCTAATGTCAGAACTAGCTTAGGAGGGAAATTTTATCTTTTCTAAATATAATAGAACAGTTCCCTTTTGTAGATTTTTGTTACTTAATTGTACTAAATGTACTACTTTTTTTTTTTTTCTTTTTTGAGACGGAGTGCCCAGACTGGAGTGCAGTGGGGCAGTCTTGGCTCACTGTAACCTCTGCCTCCCGGGTTCAAGCGATTCTACTGCCTCAGCCTCCCAAGTAGCTGGGACTACAGGCACACACCACTATGCCAGGCTAATTTTTGTATTTATAGTAGAGACAGGGCTTCACCATATTGGCCAGGCTGGTCTTGAACTCTGAACCTCAAGTAATCCACCTGCTTCAGCTTCCCAAAGTGCTGGGACTACAGGTGTGAGCCACCTCACGTGGCTTAAATATTTACATTTATTAAAGAAGGTACAGGTTTGCATTGCAGGGAACCCTAAAGAAAAATGAAGTCTCTAAGTAAAGTCATGGTACTTGAAAATTAATCTGGGAATATTTCAAATCCTTAACATAAATTTTATGAAGTCAGGGAACTGGGAGAAAGCTAATGGATAGAAACAGACCATTTTCAGAGAAAAAAAAAATAACCTCATTTACATACATGGCTCTGAGCCATAAGTCATTTCTGAAATTTCTTTTCTGGACATGGCATCTTTGTCTTGGCTAGCTCCCAGGGTGCAGCCCCAGGCCATTGGCTGCTGCCACTCATAGGACCACTGTTTTCCTACCTCACCTGTTGAAACAAGTAAGAGGGAGGACTTAATTAAGGTGTGCTTTATTCTTGTGTTCTTGTAGACTTGTTCATTGTAAAATAGGATTTTCTGCATTTCAAATCTTGTTTATTTTACAATGTTGTGGCATTTGTCCTATTAACTGGTCAACTTTTCCTTATGACTTGAATTTGGCACATTAAATGTTCTCACTCTTTTCAAGTAGAATTAAACTGAGTCCTGCTTGAGAATGGCCATTACTCTGTTTTTGAAATGTACTGTCCTTTGCAACTACATCCAGAAATCTGCAAACCAGAAAATGTTTGCCCTTATTCTTTTTTGTCCTTTACCTTATTCAGGGCAAACATTTTCTGGTTTGCAGATTTCTGGATGTAGTTACCTTGGTGGTTTAGTGGGCTTGAGTTTGTTTCAGAAGCTGAGTCAAGGAATCCTGACCCCTAGTTCTCCCAAACTGCACAAATTATTTCTAATAACCTTCTCCAGTAGACATCTGTTTATTTTGCAATTAATAGAGAGTAAAGAAGGCCTTAAAGGCATTTGTGCTTTAGGGCACTCAATGTAAATGAATTACGATGCTGTCTTTGTATAACATCTTGGTTGATGGTAGACTAATGATGCCCTTTAAAGAAAGAAATGTGAGAATCATGAATAAAAATACTTCCAGAAGTTGTCAAAAGCCACATTATAGAAAGAAATTTGGTGTCTCATAGAACACTGATGGATTACTACTCATTGCTCACCAGTTATTTAAATAAGGCGACCAAGGGATTTTTCCCAAATATAGAAGATTGCTATGACTTACATATATGGACAGAGGGACTGTTCCTGAGTCCTTGAGAGGCACAGCAATGTCCTCAGTGATGTGACTTCAGTGAAACAGTTACACAGCTTAGGAGACTCCAACACAAGCAATTCCACTTTTGGGTATAAACATCAGAGTAGTGGTCTTCAAATAGGAGAAATAAGGTTCTTAGTTTCAAGAGAATCAATTCCATAACTTCCATATACACTTTCTCCTAAATCTGATGTGCCTCAGAACTAGTGTAGTCAAGTGGACCTAGTAGTTCCTTGTCCCCATTTCCCCTTTCACAGTGCCCTTTATCCCACTTTAAAAGAGAACAGAATACCCCTCTCCATCTGAATGCTGAAACGATGTACTGCCTGAAAGTGTAAAAACCTGCAAGGAGCTAAAGAGATCATCTGCAATAATGATATTGCTGCTAAGTAGCTGAATAATTTTACCAACAAACCCTTTTAAAAGTTAACCTGTTTAACATTAATTTTTTTTCTGGTAAATTGAAGGAGAACCTATTGAAACTATTCATTGAAAAATCATTACAAATAAGATCACTAAGTGATGTATGACATATAATTTGGGAAGCTTTCAAATAAATGAGTAACACTGCTAAAACACTTCCTTTCACTCACCATCTACTTATGTGAATAATATTACTCAATGTTTACAACATAAAAGCAAAAACTAGGGATAAATGATCTAATGCTGAACTTGTCTCCTTCTAGGAATATATAAAATTCATTTGTGATATATAAACCAATTTTTTAAGCCCAGTTGATTTTTTTATATTTAATAATTATCAAAATTTAAAAGTATTTATTTGATTATACAAAAATATTAATGATAATTTGGAATAATTTTTAACACTGAGGAGCATTATGGTCCAGAAAATTTAACACAATTTAAATTTTTATAAAATTTGTTGCATGGAAATATGATACAGTCATCATCAATAAAAGATATTCACACATAATATATATTACATCCAAATAAAAATCTGTATCAGAATTGGAAAAAAAATTCAAGTTCAAAGAGAAAAAAGAATGATGTAAAATTTCCCATTGTAAAAAATGCTTGTTCGTTTTTTTAATGTTTTGATGGGCAATGGCAACAAATTACTATGGTATTTATGAATATTGGATACACTTAAGAATTCTACTTTAAATGTTACATAGGCCAGGCATGGTGGCTCACGCCTGTACTCCCAACACTTTGGGAGGCCGAGGCGGGTGGATCACCTGAGGTCAGGAGTTCGAGACCAGCCTGGCCAACATGGTGAAAACCCGTCTCTACTAAAAATACAGGTGAAACCCTGTCTCTACTAAAAATACAAAAAAAAAAAAAATTAGCAGGGCGTGGTGGCGGGTGTTTGTAATCCTAGCTACTCGGGAGACTGAGGCAGGAGAGAATCGCATGAACCCGGGAGGTGGAGGTTGCAGTGAGCCAAGATTGCGCCATCGTACTCCAGCCTGGGCAACAAGAGCAAAAACTCTGTCTCCAAAAAAAAAAAAAAAAAAGTTACATAACTAGGAAATTACTTCCTTTCCACCTACTTAAACTTAGAATAAAAAAGTTCAATTCTAACTCTACCATGTGTATAGAGGAAAAGTTTTTCCAAATTGTTTGTGGGATAAGCTAACAAAAAAGTTTAAAGACCCCTACTCTAGCAAAACTTTCATATATTGAAAGCAGAAACATATAGGGAAATTCATGGAAATATTATTTAAAACAGCAAAAAATTAGAATCTAAATGTTCCATATAGATAAATCAAATGTGATATTTTCATATGATAAAACATTATACAGCAGGTTAAACAAATAAATTAGATCAACTTATCAACATGGAAATTTTGCAAGCTTTATCAGATACTAGTTAAATCTGATTCTCAGAATTACATTGGGCTCATCCTTCTTTCATTTCCCATTCCTCTCATGACAGAGAAACCCATCCAAAAAGTACAATAGGTGTGACATTGCCCAAACTTTGGCCCTGAAGCAGAGAACCCTGAGTGGGTATGTAACATCATCATATCGCAGTTCTAATCATGAAGGCTCCATAGTTATGTAAGGTATTTTAATGACTACACTTGCTGGGAGTGGAAGGGAGATTAAACAGCTCAAATAACCAATTAGGAGGAAAAGGATTCCCTCATTATCTAGTCTTGCGTGACATAATGACGTTTCTGTCAACAACAGCCCGCATATACCAAGGCAGTCCCATGATTATAATGGAGCTGAAAAATTCCTATCGCCTTGTGAACCTAGCCATCCTAACGTCATGGAGTAATGCATTACTCACAGTTTGCGGTGATGCTGGTGCAAGCAAACTTACTGCACTACCAGTCATATAAAAGTATAGCACATTCAATTATGTACACTATGTAATACTTGATAATGATAATAAACAACTGTTACCACTTTATGTATTTACTATACCATACTTTTAATTGTTATTTTAGAGTGTACTCCTTCTACTTATTTTTTTTTAGTTAACTGTAAAACAGCCTCAGGCAGGTTCTTCAGGAGGTATTCCAGAAAACAGCTTCAATATCACAGCAGACGACAGCTCCGTGTATGTTACTAACTCTGAAGAGCTTCCAGTGGACAAAATGTGGATGTGGAAGACACCGATACTGATGATCCTCACCATGTGTAGGCCTGTGCTTACATGGGTGTTTGTGTCTTAGTTTTTAACAAAATAAGTTTAAAAAATTTTAAGAAATTAATTTAAAAATAGAAAAAAGCTTATAGGATATAAAGAAAATATTGTTGATATGTAATCATAATTTATTATTATTTACAACTTTATGTTATTTAATAGCTTATTATTGAAGAAATTTTTTCATAAATTGTAGCCTAGTGTGCAGTGTTTATGCAGTTTACAGTAGTGTACAATAATGTCCTAGGCTTTCACAGTGACTCACCACTCACTCATTGACTCACCCAGAGCAACTTCCAGTCCTGCAAGCTCCATTCATGGTAAATGCCTTATACAGGTATACCATTTATCTTTTATACCATATTTTTACTGTACCTTTTCTATATTTAGGTATGTTTAGATACACAAATACTGACCATTATGTTACACTTGCCTACAGTACTCAGTATAGTAACATGCTGTACATGTTTGTAGCCTAGAAGCAACAGGCTATACCACATAGCTTAGGTGTGTAGTGGGCTACACCATCTAGGTTTGTGCAAGTACACTTTATCATGTTTGCACAAAGACAAAATTGTCTATGGATTCGTTTATCAGAACAAATCCCTGTTATGTGACACATGGCTATATTTGGAACCTCTACTTGCCTGGAAAGAGGAAGTAAGGTACATATTTACTTACATATGAATGATGGATAAAAGAAATATTAGTGACTTTGCAAATATCCAATGGTGAGATAAGCAAAAATGACTCTTAGCAAGAAATTAATTCTATACTAATAAAATCAGTTGTGGAGTTATTTTCTGTAGGAAAGCAAAATCCATAACATAATGCCAGTAGTAACAATTAAATTGTTTGCTTATTCATATGAATTCTATTCTACTCTGTTTTGGGAAATCTGCTTAAACATTTGAGTATTATTTTATTGTATTTTCTTTTTTTAAAAATTAAAGGTCGCTCACTAGTCCGGTTTCCATTAGCGGCCATAACCAAGGGAGAGGAACCAGCTGGCATGGGAAGGGGCCATCTTCACAACATTCCATTTATACACAGAACTAAACAGACAGGCACAGAGTCACTGTTGTGGTTAGAAGTTGTAGCATGGGAAGGTGGAGGAACAGGTGGAGAGTGGGGTTGTTTTTAAAATATATATATAGGCCTTCCCCAACTGGGGTTCCTGGGAGAACTTGGTCTGCTTCAACCCAAGAGGAATCAGAAGATCCAAGCAGTTTGGGAAGGCCAGAACTGTCAGGGATGGAGAGAGGAGGAAAATCCAGGGAGTTGGGGGGCTGTTTGGCAATTGGGGTGAAGGGAGTGCCTTCCCTCTGCTGGGATTCCCCCAGGCCCTCCAGTCTGGCAGGAAGGGGGCAGCCTGCAATCCCTGAGGGCAGGTCTGGGACTAGTAGATTCTCCAGGAAGGGCGCTGGAGGGGATCACAAAGTTTGCCCTCCAAGAAGACGACAGTGCTGACCCCTAGCTGCTTCTTGATGACGTCTTTGGAGCTGGCATAGATCATTTTGCTCTTAATGGATGCAGACTCAGAGGCCCAGAAGATAAACACCAGGTCCTTCTTCTTGCTGTCCTTGGTGGCGTCATAAGGGGCGTAGCGGCAGTCCTTACTGTCAGCATCTTGACAAAAGTGGCATAGGGATCATCAATGGTTTGGTCCACATTACTTACCAGGATCTTCTTGGCCTCCGCAAGGATGATGTACTTCTTGTACTCACTCAGGCAGAAGAGCAGCAACTTCTTGCGCTTCTTCACCTTTTCTAGTGTTGAAGACTTGCACACTTTCATGTCACTGAACACCTTGATGACATCATCAAAGACAGCCACATGGGAGCCCATGTTTCCAGAAGTGAAAAGGAGATGGCAAGGAGAGCCGCTGCAGCTGCTGCCAGGATCTGACTAGACATTTGAATATTTTGAGAATGAAGTCTTATTTTCTCACTGACCCCATTAAAAAATCAGTAATAACATAAAATGAGGCTGTAATAAGAACAATAATGATAATAACTATATTTATTATTACTAACATTTGTTGATAACACTTAATGGAGTCATTAAAGGGTATGTATGGTCTTATGAAGCCCTCTGGCATGTTTGCATTTTCTCCCCAGGTCTCTGCAAATATGTTTCTATAAAGGACAGTGTGGGGTAAGCACTGTCACACAAGTAATAATGAATATTTATTGATTGCATACTACTACTAAATGACCTACAGGCATGATCCACTTAAATACCTCTCATATATCTCTTAAAATTTGCTGCTACACTGCTTCCCTACCAAAAGTACTAAAGCTATCCTTCTCCTATAGCAGCTGAGGCTTTATTATAATTTCTGCAATTTTCTACCTTCAGGAGGAGTTTTCTCCCTAAGGTTTCCAGTATTCTGAAAGTACTTTCCTAGCAGACTCCTCCCATTGCTCACTAGACATGCCTAGACAAGTTCTAACCTCAATTGTGAATGCAGCCTTTATGTGAGTACTCTACCAGAGGAGGGAGAAAGGGAGAAAAGAAATGTTATCACAATGATTGTATTCATTAACCTTCATAATATATATGTGAAAGGAGGATGTAGTGGAATAAGGGTTGTGGCCATGCACATAACATTAAACTGGATTGCCATCTGTTCATAAAGATTTCTAATTTCTTGCTACATTTATTTTTATTTACTTTTTATTATTTTTTTAAGAGATGGGGTCTCACTATGTTGCCCAGGCTGGTCTTGAACTCCTGGGCTCAAGTGATCCTCCCATCTCAGCCTCCCAAAGTGCTGGGATTACAGGTGTGAGCTACTGCAGTGGCATCTTGCTACATTTAATACTTCACATTACTCCATTCTTTTCTTTGGAGCAGACTGAAGCATTCCTTTTTTTCTTCTTTTTCTTTTTCTTTTTTTTTTTTTTTTGAGACAGAGTCTCACTCTATTGCCTAGGATGGAGTGCAGTGGCACGATCACAGCTCACTGCAGCCTCGACCTCCCAGGCTCAAGTGATTCTCCCAACTCTCAGCCTCCCAAGTAGCTGGAACTACAGGCATGCGCCACAAAGCCCACCTAATTTTGGTATTTTCTGTAAAGAGAGGGTTTTGTCATGTTGTGCAGGCTGGTCTTGAACTTGGGCTCCAGTGATCCTCCTGTGTCAGCCTTCCAAGGTGCTGGGATTACAGGCATGCACCCCTGGCCTCTGAAGCATTCCTTGAGTCAGATATGCTTGGTGTTGTTTACTCAACCTGAGTCACCTTTTGCTTCCCTGTTCACCATTACCTACTGCCTTACCCTGAAAGGGGAGGTACTTACTATATATACTCAGATCATAAATTCCTCAGGAAGCTATCATGAGGTTAAAAGTACAGTTTCTGGAACCAGATTGTTTGTTTTCAAATTTTGCTCTGCCACTTACCAGTTGTGAGATCTTTGGCAAGTTACTTAATCTCTATGTACCCATGTCCTCATCCGTAAAATGGGGATGATAACAGTAGCCACCTCATTGGGTTTTTAATTTTTTTTTTTTTTTTTTTAGATAGAGTCTCACTCTGTTGCTCAGGCTGGAGTGTGGTGGCACGATCTCGGCACACTGCAACATCCACCTACCAGGTTCAAGTGATTTTCCTGTCTCAGCCTCTTGAGTAGCTAGGATTACAGGCACCTGCCACCATGCTTGGTTAATTTTTGTATTTTTAGTAGAGATGAGGTTTCACCATGTTGGCCAGGGTGATCTCGAACTCCTGACCTCAAGTGATCTGCCTGCTTCAGCCTCCCAAAGTTGCTGGGATTACAGGTATGAGCCACCGCACCCGGCCTATCAGTGGGTTTTTATAAGGACTGAGTGAGGGAGTGTGTGTGTGTGTGTGTGTGTGTGTGTGTGTGTGTGTGTGTGTGTGTAAAATCACTTAGGACAAGCCTGGCACGCAGAAAGCACTATGTAAGTGTTAGCTGTTATTATTATTGAGTGCAGGTACTCTATCTAACTCAATTGTACTCTCTTTGCTGCCCTCTCTGACACCTGGCATATTGTTTGATACATGATAAGCTTTCAGTAAAGGCTGATGAGCGATGAACAGCTATTAACAAAAGATAGGAGATAAGAAAATAAACATTTTCTTAGTCCTTTGAGATGTCCCAATAAAACGGTACTTTTGAAATAACTGTATATCTTTTATTAATTATAATTTTATGTCATGCCAATGTTTTGGTTAAGAGTCTAAGAAGGCTGCATTTGCCTCTGAATCACTCTATGGTCAAGGCCTTGTATTGTGAGAACAGCCCAATCATATTGACCTGGCACATGCTTCTCTGAAGTCACATGTCCAGCATTGTGACATGAGCAAGAATGCAGGCAACCTCTTGATTCCACTCATTCAAAGTTCTCTGTGGGGACTAGGTTCAGAAGATGTCATCTCCCCCATAGACTAGCTTCCCAGAGAATGTCACCTGCAAACTAGAATGATGCTAGTCTCAGCTTAACTGTGCAAAGAGAAAACCAGAACGCGCTCCCCAGGAACAAGGTTCATTCACAGTTGTCAGAAGGTACATTAACACTTAGAATCAAAACTTCATATAGGCTCTAGTGTAAAGCTTGACAACTCCTAACTACATCTTAGCTTTCACTACAGTGGAAGCAGTCCTGCTTCCACTGAAGTTTCTTAGAGATTAAAAAAAAAAATTACTAGGTAAATCTTTGTACCTTTGTACTTCTCATGCTAGCAGTTTTTTTACGTATCAGAGAGATGCTCAGTTAAGTACTCATAAGCTCCGTGACTAAAAGACTACATACTTTTTCAATTATAAACAAACATACAAATACAACTTATCAGCTGGATATAATATAGCCCTGAGATAAAAATATCATCATATATTACTTTACATTATCATGTCATGTTATGTTCTTTCTACGCTTTGGTATGGGACATTATGTATGTTCTTTCTACACTTTGGTATGGGACACTATCTGGAAAGACCTTAATCACTATTTATATTTTATGTTTTCCAAAGGGAACATCAACAGAGGAAATGTCAAACTTAAGAAATATTCTGTTCCCTGAAGGGGTGAAAAAAGGGCTATGAGGCCTAGTTAATTACAAATCAAACATAGTAATATACCTGTTTCCTCAGTTGCAGTAGAAATAACCAAAATTCCCTCAAATGTGCACTCCTAATTTTGTTCAAGAAACTAACGTTTCTCTTTCAAACAAGTTCTGATGAAATTATCATTTTCTTTTTTCTTTTTCAGAGATAGGGTCTCACTCTGTCACCTAGGCTGGAGTGCAATGGCGCAATCATGGCTCACTGCAGCCTCAACCTCCTGGGCTCAAGTGATCCTCCCACCTCAGCCTTCAAGTAGCTAGGACTACAGGGGCACACCACAACACCCGGCTAATTTTTTACTTTTATTTTTAGAGACAGGGTCTCACTATGTTGCCCAGGCTCATCTCAAACCTTTGGTTTCAAGCAATCTTCCCGCCTTGTCATCACGAAGTGTTGGGATTATAGGCATGAGCCACTGCATCCAGCCTGAAATTATCATTTTCTAATATTTCTCTTTTAATTTTCTCTAAGATGGAAGTAGCCAAATCACAATTAAGGTTTAATTTCACAGAGTATCCTGATTAACTCTGGAACAATGTAACATTTTAGTAAAATTATAGTGTGGGAGAGAAAAACTACAGTATTTTTATTCTAGAATTGAGGTCAGTAATAATCTTTTTATTCCTAAATGACTCAAACAGAGTTAATTCATGTCTCTGGCCACCACTGGCAGGGCTAAAGCCTGGCCATGAAGTGAAGGACAATATGGAAAGGTGGAACAGGAATAGGAAGGCAGCATACAAGGAAAAGATGAGAGGTGTTGACAGATTTTTAAAGAGGATAAAGATCAGCAGCTTTTTACAATCCCATTACTTCTTTAAATCTACTAATTCATCCAGGTTCACAGATATAAAAACTGTGAGGAAGAGAAAAAGAAGAGGGAATGGATGAGATGGAGAAGATTACTGGGGGCGGCGGGGGGGAAGAAAGAAAGAAGCCCATTTGGTGGAAAGCAATAGAGCATAACATGAAATTGCCTTAGGTACAAAGCTCACTGATCTATTCTAGAGTCTTCGTCCCACTTGAGACAATAGCCTAGTTCTAGTCCAGTTCCACTCCAATTATAAGGACTTGTCCTTCTCTTGATGGTCAAGAATTACTCATGTTCTGTTTACTATTAGATAAAAATTTATTTAAAACTACTATCTGCAGAAGACAAGCAAATTGCTTTATCTTCCTTCTACTCATTTATATTATTCAATACGATCCTCGTTTCTTATAGTTTAACAGGATGTATGTGAAAGAAATGGACTGTTGGCTCCTAACCATAAGTTCTCTTTGAGGCAAGCTTCTCAGAGATAAAAATAAAAATAATTGGCCCAAACAGGACCTAGGTCACCTAGCCTTGAGATTATTTACAGAGAAACATCAGGCAAATTTAGTCAAGGTGACTGAAGACCAAACAATTAAGCAATAAATTAATTCAAAAAAGACATACCAAAATATATATATTTGAAGTGTTACAACTACATGGCACAAAATTATTGGATCTCTAAAGCTATCCATCTAGTGTTGGGGGATTTGTTTCTATTTCTGTCTAGAAATTCAGCTAAGTATAATTTGTTATAAATCTTGCAGAAAACATGTACAGGTAGAATTATAAAGAAAAGTAGTGACTGAATTGGGAAGAATGAGGCAATATGTAGTGCCAAGAATTTTTTCATGAATATGTTGGCAATTGTATTTGTCTGCTCAAGGTGCCAAAACAAAATACCATAGACTGAATGGCGAAAACAGCAGAAATCTACTTTCTCACAGTTTGAGAGGCTGGGAAGTCCCGAATCAAGGTGCCAGCTGATTTAACTCCTGGTGAGGCCTCTCTTTCTGGCTTGCAGACAGCTGCCTTCTTGCTATGTCCTCACAAAAAGGAGAGAGAGAGAGAGAGAGAGAGAATATGAATGAGCTCTTTGGTGTCTCCTCTTACAAGGGCACTAATCCCATCATGATGCCCCACTCTCATGACCTCATCTAATCCTAATTACCTCTCAAAGGCCTCATTGCTAAATACCATTACTTTCAGGGTTAGAGCTTCAACTTGTGCATTTTGAGGATACAAAAACATTCAATCCATAACAGCCATTTAAAAACAATGTTCCATTCCAGCTCTAGGTAAGATGGAGTAAGCACACTCCACCTTGTCTTTTTTTTTTTTTTTTTTTTTTTTTTTGAGATAGAGTCTCACTCTGTCACCCAGGTTGGACTGCAGTGGCACAATCTGAGGCTACAGGTGTGCACCACCACGCCCAGCTAATTGTTGTATTTTTAGTCGAGACTGGGTTTCAACATGTTGGCCAGGCTGGTCTTGAACTCCTGACCTCAGGTGATCCGACCACCTCGGCCTTCTAAACTGTTGGGATTAAGGGCGTGAGCCACCGCGCCCAGCCCACCCTGTCTTTTTCATTAAATATAGTTATAAAACCTAGATAGAATGCATGAAACAGCTACTTGGGGACACTGAAAGATAAAAAGTACCAAGTGAATTGGGGAAAAAGACTAGAATTTAAAGTACTACTGAACAAGCAGTGAGTTTTCTGTTTTTGTTTTTTCCCTATCAGAACCTCAGTCTAGAAATAAGGCAGTCTGAAACTCAGAATACGCACAGACAGACAGAGCCCCAGGAGAAGCCCTCTAGTTCTGGCTCAAGGAGCAGGAAAAGCATCTCCTAATACTCAGAGAGTGTGGGAGAAATCTGCCAATTTCTTCTCTTTTGTTCTCCATTCTCTAGTGCCCCAGGCACCTAGAAATCCTGCCAACCAAGCAGTGGTAATGACTGCAATGTCAGCAGGTGGTGACAAGCTCCAATATCTCTGAGGGAGGGGAACCTTCTTCCATGGAGAAGTTGGGGCCTCAGGAGGGTGGGATAAACACCAGTTGATTTTTTCTTCTCTGTCCTTCCACTGCTGAGCCCTGGACATAGTGTAGCCCCAGAAAGTACATACCACAGCAGGGTAACTAAAGCACTAGATTTCTGGCTGTGGGACTGAAAGAGGAAGTCCCAGGAATAAGAAAGTACTAGAGACCATGAAGAGGGAGGAACTCAGAGAAGTAGTAGTTAAGTTGATTATAACCTCCTAGACTCACCTTCAAGTTGCACAAGGATGGATCTGATCACAAACAGCATATGTACCAAAAAGACTTTGAGACTGAACTAAAGGAGAGTCTACCACACAAGTCCACCACCCTACCACTACTGACTGGTAGTACACATAGAGGATAGATCCAAATAGCATGGAAAGCAAAATATTCTTTTTGAAAACAGAATTGACATTGAAACTACAACTGACAGAAGGTTGGCTGGAACTTTTGACTTGAACCAAAACAGATCTATTACCCACCAAAACAAAAATATCAGTATTCTCCATATGATTTAAACAAAACCCAGAGTCTTATAATATATTAAATGTCTGGGATACAATTCAAAACTAGTCAGCATACAAGAACCAGGAAAATCTCAGCTCACCTAGGAAAAGACAATAGAGGACAATGCCAGGATGCTATAGATGCTGGAATTAGCTGACTATAGCTTTAAAACAGTTATTAGAAAAGTGTACCAGAACGTAAGATTAAAAAGTTCCTGAAAGAAATGCAAAAAATAATAAAAAAATGAAATTGAAATTCAGAACTAAAAAATATAATAACAAAAATAAAGAACTAATTGTATAGGTTCAATTACAGAATGGAGATGAGAGAGGAAACAGTCAGTGAATTTGAAGATGAGGCAACAGAAATTATCCAATGTGAACAATGGAGAGAAAAAGTATTGGGGGAAAAAAGCTGTGCCTGAGGGACTGGTGGGACACCACCAAAATATCTAACATTTATGATATCGGAGATCCAGAAGAAGAAAGGAAAGAATACAACGTAGTACCAAATATTTGAAAGAATAACTAAAAATTTCTTAAATTTGGTAAAAAACATAAACTTACAGATTCAAGAAACTCAGACACCAAACAGGGTATAACCAAAGAAACTCATGCCCAAACACATCATAATCAAACTGCTAAAAACTGAAACAAGAAAAATTCTTGAAAACTGGTAGAAAAAAATGATACATTATTTACAGGGGAAAAACAGTGTGAATGACTGCAGATTTCTCATCAGAAACCACGGAGGCTAGAATGAAGTAGAACAACTTAAAGGGCTAAAAGTAAAAACCTGTCAACCCAGAATTCTATATTTAGCACAAATATCCTTCATGATTAAATTTGAAATAAACACATTCTTGGGGGAGGAAAACAAAGATAATTTGTTGTCAGCATACCTTGGTCTAAAGAATTACTAATGGAAGTTCTTCAGACAGACGGAAATGACATCATAAGGTAACCTGAAACATCAAGAATAAAGGAGGAGCCAGGCATGGTGGTAGTCTTAGCGACTCGGAAGCTGAGGTGGGAGGATCACTTTTAGCCCAGGAGTTTGAGGTTACAGTGGGCTATGATTGTGCCACTGCTCTCCAGCCTTGGTGACAGAGCAAGACCCCGACTCCAAGAAAACAAAACAAAACAAAACAAAAACAAGGAATAAAGAAGGAAAAACAGAAATGGTAAATATCTAGGTAAATAAACAATTCACCTCTTAAGTTCCTTAAAATTTGTTTCATGTTTGAAAGCAAAACTGATAACATTAATGGGGTTTTCAGTGTATGTAAATGCAATACATAAGACAACTGCAACATAAAGAGGGAAGGTAATAGGATCTAAATGATTATAACATTTCTATATCCCCCTTGAAGTTATAAAATATTGATTCTAAGTAGGTTGTGTAAAATTAAATATTTATATTTTGATCCCAATCATTAAAAACTTTTTTAACAAGGACACATAGTCAAAAACTAACAAAAATATGGAATTTTAAAAAATATACAAATGCCCCAAAAGAAGGTAGAAAAGAGAAAACAGATACATGAAAGAAAATAAAGGAAACAAATAGAAAACAAATAAATAAAATGGTAGGCCTAAATCTGAATATATCAATTATTACATTAAATGGAAAAACACCTAAATATGCCCACTGAACAGGTTGGTAAAATGTACGCAAAAACATGACTGAGCTACGTATGTGTTGTAAAAAAGAACTCAATTCAAAATACATTTATATAGGTATGTTAAAAATAGAAAAATATATGCCATGTGAACACTAACCAAAAGGAAGCGAGAATAGTTATATTACTATCAGACAAAGTAGACTTCAGAGCAAAGAAAATTACTGGAGATAAAGAAGGGCATTATAAAATGTGTGAATCATAACCTGATAGAATTGAAAAGAGAAACAGACAAATCTACAATTATATTTGGAAACATCAATACTCCTCTCTCAGTGATGGATGGAAGTAGTAAACAGAAAATCAGCAAAAATATAGAAAAATTGAACCATACCATCAACCCAACCGTACCTAATAGGTATTTATAAAATACTCCACCCAACAATAGCAGAATACATACTCTTTAAAATGTACATGGCACAGCACATTCATCAAAACATAATCCAGCCTAAAAAAAGAATTGAAATCATATAAAATATGCTCTCTAATCATAATAGAATAAACTTAGAAATAAATAAAAGTAAAATCTCCAAACATTTATAAACATTATACTTCTAAGTAATCCATGGGTCAAAGAGGAAGCCAAAAGGAAAAAATATTTTGAACTGAATGAAAATGAAAACACAACATATGAAAATTTGTGGAATAGGATTCAGCTAAAGCAATCCTTAGAGGGAAATTTATATTTATAACATGAAATATTGACATTAAAAAAGAAGAAAGTTCTCACGTCACTGATCTTTAAGAAGCTAAAAAGTTAATAACAATAAAATAAACCCAAATCAAGCAGAAGGAAGAAAATTTTTAAAAGCTAGGAGCAGAAATGAATGAAATTGAAAACAGAAATCAATAGAGAAAAATTAATGAAACAAAAAACTGGTTCTTTAAGACCAATGAAATTCACAAATCTCTTGCAAGATTACGAAGAAAAGACACAATTTACCATATCAGGAATGAAAGAGAAGATATCACTACAAATGCAATGGTATTCTAAAAATAAGGAAATACTACGAACAACTCAACACACATAAATATGACAACCTATGTGAAATAGACTAATTCCTCAAAACCAAACCATCAAAACTCACATAAGCAAATTTAAATAACCTGAAGAATCCTATACCTGTAAAGAAATTAAATTCATAGTTTAAAACCTCTCAAAAAATTTTCCAAGCCCAGATGGTTACACTGTCAAATTCTATCAATCATTTTAAGGTGAATTAATACCAATTCTACACAAATTCTTTCCAGAAAATAGAAGAGGAGAGAACATTTACCAATTTATTTTTATAAAATCAGCATTATTGATACCAAAGCCAGACAAAGACAGGACAAGAAAAAACCATACAATATCTGCCTTGGACCTTGACACAAAAATCTTCAACAAAATATTAACAAATTGAATCCATCAGTATATAAAAATATTATACACCATGCCAAAATGAGGTTTATCTTGAAAATGCAAAGCTGGATCAATATTCAAAAGATCAATCAATGTAATCCACCATATTACTACAGTAAAGAGGAAAAGCTACATGACCATACCACTTGATACAGAAAAAGCATTTAACAGGCTGGGTTTGGTGGCTCATGCTTGTAATCCCAGCACTTTGGGAGGCTAAGGCAGGCAGATCACCTGAGGTCAGGAGTTCGAGAGCAGCCTGGCAAACATGGTGAAACCCTATCTCTACAAAAATTAGCCGGGTGTGGTGGCACATGACTGTAGTCCCAGCTACTCAGAAGGATGAAGCAGAATTGCTTGAACCTAGGAGGCGGAGGTGGCAGTGAGCTGAGATCATGCCACTGCACTCCAGCCTGGGCTACAGAGCAAGACTCTATCAAAAAAAAAAAAAAAAAAAAGGAAAGAAAGAAAGAGAGAGAGAAAGAACATTTGACAGACTTCAACATCCATTCAGATTAAAAAAAAAAAATTCTCAGCAGACGAGGGTAGAAGGGGATTTCACAACCTCATAAAGGTCATGTACAAAAAGCCAACATCTAATATATTATGTGGTGAAAGACTGAATTCTACCCATTAAGGTCAGGAACAAGGTAAGAATGTCTTCACTCACCATTGCTATTTGACATTATATTGGAATTTCATTCAGTGTAATAAGGCAAGAAGATAAAAGACATACAGATAGGGAAAGAAGAAATAAAAATGTCTCTATTTGCAGATGACATGATTGTTTACATAGGAAACCAAATAAGTGATTTAAAAAAAACCTCCTAGAACTGACTTTAGTAAGGTCAGAGGACAAAAGGTAAACACACATTCAAAATTTTACATCCATATACCAGCAATGAACAACTGGAAACTAATATTTTTTAAACAATACCATTTACAATAGCTCCAAAAATACTGAAATACTAAGGTACGAATT
The DNA here is from genome assembly GCF_000001405.40 of Homo sapiens. Classification (NCBI taxonomy): domain Eukaryota; kingdom Metazoa; phylum Chordata; class Mammalia; order Primates; family Hominidae; genus Homo; species Homo sapiens. Next base: position 49,025 of record NW_013171807.1, on the reverse strand, counting down.
TAACAAAACATGAATAGAATATGTATGCTGAAAACTACAAAACATTAATGAAAGCAATCAAAGAAGATCTAACTATAAATAATGGAGAGATATACTATGTTCAGAACTGGAAGAATACCAGGTACTCAGGAGTCTGAGGGAGGAGAAGTGCTTGAGCCCAGGAGCTCTGGGCTGTAGTTCACTATGCAGCTTGGGTGTTGGCACTAAGTTTGGCATCAATATGGTGACCTCCTAGGGGTGGGGTACTCCAGGTTGTCTAAGGAGGGGTGGACCAGCCCAGGTAGAAAAGGGAGCAGGTCACAATTCCCATGCTGATAGTAGCACAATCATGCCTGTGAATAGCCACTGCATTCTAGCCTGGGTAACATAGCAAGACTCTCATCTCTGGAAAGAAAGAAAACTGAAGACTCAACCCATGACACTATAGTTTAATTCAATTCCACTAAATATCTCAACAGAACTCACAAAACAAATTTGTAAAATATAGCAAGCTGATCTTAAAATTAATACAATTTTAAATTGTATTTTAAATTTTATATAAATTATGATTTAAAATTTTTAAATATAGCAAGTTTATTCTAAAATATAGAAATTTAAAATCATTAGAAAAGTCAAAATAAGTTTGAAAAAGAAAAATAAGGTTGAAGAATCAAACTACCTGATTTTAGGTTGTACTATAAAGCTAGATTAATCAACATAATCTAGTATTGGTGAAAGGGTAGACACTTAAGATCAGTGGAACAGAATAAACAGCCCAGAAACAGTCCCACACAAACACGGCCCACTGCAGCCATATTTTTTTTTTTTTCTGAGATAGGATCTCACTCTGTTGCCCAGGCTGGAGTGCAATGGTACAGTTATGGCCCACTGCAGCCTCAAACTCGTGGGCTCAAGTGATCATCCCACCTCAGCTTCCCAAGTAGCTGGGACTACATGCATGGGTCACCATACCCTGATAATTCTTTTTTAATTTTTTGTAGAGATGGGGGTCTTGTTATGTTGCCTGGTGTGGGGGTGCTGAAGCAGGAGGATCACTTGAGCCTAGGAGGTGGAGGCTGCAGTGGTCATTGTCACTCTACTCCAGCCTGGGTGAGAGAGCAAGACCCTGTCAAAAAAAAAAAAAAAAAAAGCCATAACAATCTATGTAACAGAAAAATTTGGGAACAGAGCATAATGAGTACGAATACAGGTTCTAGAATTAGATAGCCCAGGTACAATCCTGGCTTTAGGACTTACTATTTGACCTTGAATGAGTTACTTAACTTCTCTGTGCCTCAGTTTCCTTATCTGAGAATAATTATAGTACTTACTACAGGTTTATGAGAATTACATGAGTTGATATATGCAAAGCACCTAGAACAGTAGCTGGTATATATTAAATACTATATAAAGTGTTTGTTAAATAAAATGCACCAGGTTCTTAACCACTTGTCAGTCACAGTAACTTATGGGTATGCCATACGACATTATAACTGATTAAATAGCCAAATTATATTTGTTGTATCATAGGGAATTTAACATTTATTGATAAATATGATACAAGTTAAATTGTAAGGCCCTGCACTTGAGTCTCTCCCTCAAAATTGTGACTGGTACAGCATGGAGGACCCAAACTCTAGTGAAGAATAGGCTTTATGAACAACAAATTCAGTAGGTATCAAAAGGGTGGTTACTAGCAAAAGGAAGATAGTTTGATCCTAAATTGTGATGAGAAATCTATAGTATCTACACTGGTCACACCACTCTTGAAGCATATATTCCATTCTAGTTTCACACTTAATTTAGTTACGTAGACTTAATCTGTGCAGCCTCACTGGCAAGAATGAGAATCGTGGATAAAAGTTCTAGGGGAAAATATTTAGGCTCAGTAAAGGGAAGACGTAACACTGAAGGGTTCTCTGAACATGGGATGACAACTGAAGCAGTTAGTGAATCCTATGTCACCAGAATGTTTAAATAAGTTCAATGACCACTTGGTGAGATAATTATGATGACAACAAACACAGTCATTTCTAAAATGTTTATGGTGTCTGTCCTAGTTCCTTTACGTAGCTTATCTCCAATCCTCTCCCCAACTCTATAATGTAGACACTATCCCTTTTTTATACATGAGAAAACCAAGGCTCAGAGAGGTTAAATAAATCACCCGAAATGTGCTGTCATTAAGTGGTAAAGCTGTGATTTGATCCAGGACATCTAATTCCACAGCAAACATTCTTTCTAATCCAAACTGCCTTTGGTCAAAGACTCAATAACATTCAGTATTCCTTTTAATCCTGAGAGTCTGTGATTTATTGAAATTATATCTTTCTAAATATAGATATAGATCTTCCCTAGCCATTTCTATGCACTGGAACAGGTGTCTTTCTCAAGAAAAAAGAGGCATCATTCTTAAATTTGAAGTTGGTTTGTTACTTCTATGAGGGAAGTGTTACAAGCCAACACACTATTTACTATGTTAATAGACAATGGAATTAACAATAAATTGGATTATGCTGAATAGGTAAGGAGTTTCTTACTCCTGAATTTACTTTCTAGAGAGTGGTATTTAAAAAAGAGGTAAAATGTTATTATTCTTGATAAAAGTAGTAAATGAAAACACAAATAGAGATAAATCTATGTCCTTACTGCTCTACTCTCCCCTTAGCTAATTCTCAGTTAAACATGATTCATTCAGCACCATAAGACAGGGGGGAAAAAAACATGATTCATAAGAATCTATGTGAGTGTTTCAGAATTTGTTACAGTAATCTCTCACCAACTGAGAGTGGGGATGATTACATTCCTAAAAGGTGCCATGTTAGGTAAAACCTCCATTGGCAAAATTCAAGAAAATATGGAACTTGTAAGATAGTAAAGCAATAAAGTTGGTCATAAAGCAGAAAAGAATCTTCTCCTTCAGCTGTTCATGAGCTCATATTCTGAAAAATCATGATTGGTGTGAAAGATAGGATGTATTTATATTAACCACACTTCCTTTCACAGCTTTTGATCTGGCCCTTACTATACTGCTATTTCATGCTGCTTGCATTTGCTTTCCCACTGGTATATCACATTTGCAAGCCTTGGCAACATTCTTAATGGTCAGCTGATCCTTCCACAAATGAAGGGCATGATTTTTCTTTAGGCCCAGTGTCCTGCTGTTACTCCCCATATGTGGAGGGTTGGGGGTAGAGGCAACATTTGACCCTTCCTTTCATAAAATATTTCTCTGCAGTATGTGATGCTGTTTGATAGCATTTTACCCAGAGCAGAACTTCTTTCAAGATTGCAGTAAATTTTCTCAAACACTGCCACTGCTTTATCAGCTAATATTCTAAATCCTTTGTTATTTCAACAATGTTCACATTATCTTCACCAGGTGTAGATTCCATCTCAAGGAACCACTTTCTTTGCTCATTCATAAGAAGCAGCTCATCAAGTTTTATCAGGGGATGGCAGCAATTCAGTCACATCTTCAGACTCCACTTCTAATTTTAGTTCTCTTGCTATTTATACCACATCTGCAGTGACTTCTCCACTCAAGTCTTGAACTCCTAGAAATCATGTAGGAGGGTTGGACCAACTTCTTCCAAACACTTGTTAATGTTAATATTTTGACCTCCCATGAATTTTGAATATTCTCAATGGCATTTAGAATGGTGAATCCTGGCCGGGCGAGGTGGCTCATGCCTGTAATCCCAGCACTTTGGGAGGCTGAGGTCGGCAGATCATGAGGTCAGGAGATCAAGACCATCCTGGCCAACATGGTGAAACCCTGTCTCTACTAAAATACAAAAAATTAGCTGGGCATCGTGGCACGTGCCTGTAGTCCCAACTACTCAGGAGGCTGAGGCAGGAGAATTGCTTGAACCCGGGAGGAAGAGGTTGCAGTGAGCCAAGATCACGCCACTACACTCCAGCCTGGGAGACAGAGTGAGACTCCATCTCATAATAAATAAATAAATAAATAAATAAATAAATAAATAATAAATAAAATAATGAATCCCTCCAGAAGTTTCTCAATTTACTGTCCCCAGATTCCCCATCAGCAGAATCACTATCTATGGTAGCTATAGCCTTATAAAATGTATTTCTCTAGTAATAAGACTTGAAAGTTGAAGTTACTCTTTGATCCATGGACTGCAGAATGGATGATGTGTTAGTAGGCATGTAAACAACATTCTGCTGTACATCTCCATCAGAGCTCTTGAGTGACCAGGTGCATTGTCAATGAGCAGTTAACATCTTGAAATGAATCATTTATTTCTGAACAGTAGGTCTCAATAGTGAACTTAAAATATTCAGAAAACCATGCTGTAAAAAGATGTGCTGTCATCCCAGCTTTGTTGTTCCATTTATAAAGCACAGGCAGAGTAGATACAGAGTAACTCTTAAGTCCCTAGGATTTTCAGAATGACCAATGAGCATTGGTTTCAACTTAAAGTCATCAGTTGCATTAGCTCCTAACAAGAGAGTCAGCCTGTTTTTGAAGCTTTAAAGCCAGGCATCGACTTGTCTTCACTAGCTATAAAAGTCCCAGATGGCATTTTCTTCCAATAAAAGGCTGTTTTGTCTACATTGAAAATCTGTGTTTAGTGTAGCCACCTTCATCAATGATCTTAGCTAGATCTTCTGGGTAAATTACTGCAGCTTCTCCATTAGCACTTGCTGCTTCACCTTGCACTTACATGTTATGAAGATAGCTTCCTTCCTTAAACCTCATGAACTAACCTCTGCTAGCTTCAAATCCTTCTTCTACAGCTTCCTTGCCTCTCTTAACCTTCACAGAATTGAAGAGAGGGACTTGCTCTGAATTAGGCTGTAGGAATGTGGTTGGTTAGATCTTCTACCCAGACCATCTAAAACTTTCTCCATGTCAGCCATTAGGATGTTTCTGCTTTCTTATCATGCATTTATTCACTGGAGTAACACTTTGAATTTCCTTTAAGAACTTTTCTAGGCCAGACACAGTTGCTGATGCGTGTAATTCCAACATTTTGGGAGGCCAATATGGGAGGATGCTTGAGACCAGGAGTTTGAAACCAGCCTGGGGAATAAAATGAGACCCCATCTCTGCAAAAAATTAAAAAAAAAAAATTAGCCAGGCTCAGTGGTGTGCGCCTGTAGTACAAGCTACTTGGGAGGTTGAGGTGGGATGATTGCTTGAGCCTGGGAATTTGAGGCCACAGTGAGCTATGATCATGCCACTGCCCTCAAGCCTGGGCAACAGAGTAAGACCCCGTCTCTTAAAACCAATAAACGAACAACCAAAAAAAACCACTTTTCCTTTGCATTCACCACTTGGCTAATTGTCTGACTCAAGAGGCCTAGCTTTTGGTCTATTTCAGCTTTCAACATACCTTTTTTCACTAAGCTTAATCATTTCTAGCTTTTGATTTAAAGTGAGAGATGTGTGACTCTTCCTTTCACTTAAACATTTAAAGGCCACTGTAGGGTTATTAATTGGCCTAATTTCAATATTGTTGTGTCTCAGGGAAAAGCAAGCCCTGAGGAGAGGGATAGGGACAGGAGAATGACTGGTTGGTAGAGCAGTCAGAACACAACATTTATTAATTTCACTGCCTTACATGGCTGTGGTCTGTGGTGCCCAGAACAATCACAATAGTAACATCAAAGATCCACTGATCACAGATCACCGTAACAGATATAATAATTTAAATGTTTGAAATATTGCAAGAATTACCAAAATGAGACAGAGACACAAAGTGAGTACATGCTGTTGGAAAAATGGCACTGACACACTAGCTAGATGCAGGGTTGCCACACACCTTCCATTTGTAAAAATCATAATATCTGCAAAGCACAATAAAGGGAAGCATAATAAAATGAGGTATGCCTGTATTTTCATTTCAGAGGAGGAAACCCAGAAAGGCTACCTGACGTGTGACAGGCCACGGAGCTGGTACCTCTCATTGAGTACTGTCATAATTTAGAATTTCTCAAATACTGCATAAATACTGAAACAGAATTTTATTAAATTATTAAATATTTAGCATTATGACATTATATAAATAGTATCATGATATTTAGTAACAGTAAATAATGGTATATTAAATACTGAATAAAACAGCCATAATCTGCATCCTGCATGCTTCAAACTACTTTGGCAGAGACTATATTTGTTCTTCACCTACCTGGCACTCTATGCTTGATAAATTTCCTGTGTTGGGTTCAGAAACAGATTTTGAGAATGATAATTAAAATGAAGTATCATGGACCCCATCTTCCTGTAGAATGAGGAGGAAATGGGGTAACACTAGAGAGACTTTTAGTTGTCTTCTCTTTTTGGCCTATGAGTGTGTGTTCAGGTGCTGCAAATCCTTCTGATTGATTCAACTGAAGAAATATGATTAGTCATCAAAAATAAGACAAAATATGATCACTGTATTTCATGGCTTTAGACATCATTCATTTAAACTCTTTCACCTGTTTATTTCCAAGAGTCCCAAGGAAGGGGTGAGAGAGGGACAGAAGAGGTTTCTTAAATACTAGCCTGTGAGGACACTATGATGACTATATATGGAAAGCTAGTTTATGTAACATAAGTAGGATTAAGTGATGGAGGGACTGTAATGTGGAAGGTGGCACACGGTCCAGCCAGAGGTTCAAGAATATCTGGACAGAATTCTAAACCTGCTTTTAGCCAGCCAAGAATTATTAGCATTTCTTCAGCTTTTTACAAAACACTATAGAAGAAGAAAACATGATTGGGGAGTTAGCCTCTTTGTCTACTCTCCTTTACTCTCCCCTTTTCTGATCTCTCATTAACCTGAGAACTCAGAAGGCACAAAGAAATGGGTAGGGGCATGCCTCTGGCACTGGGCCTTACTTGGACATTCAAAGGTTTCAGAATTGCTGATATTTCAACTGAATAAGCAGCAGGCTAGAAAGTAGAAAGGTTTGTGAAATCTATCAGGTATACTATTTTGAAGTTGAATGAGACTTTCATCCCTGCCAATTTAGTATACTTAGTTTCCTGTGCTTCTATAAAACAAGTTATAGGCTTTGCTTTCTTTTTCCCCTTTGTTGTTGTTGTTGCTGCTGCTGCTGTTTTCTGGTTCCAGAAACAATGACAATAAAAGGGGAAGATGGGAGATTTTTAACATCAGCTTGCCAGTGAACTGCTGCTGGGCCCCTCTAGGTGAAAGAAGGCCTAGTAGATATTTCATCCTTAAACACGTAAAATCAGCCAGCTTTGCCCTGGCCTTTGGAAGAAGTGCATTCAGTGTCTGGACAGGATATATCATTTCTTCTGCTCAGTAAAGCTCCCTCAACTTTGGGAATGTTTCTATTAATTACCCATAGTAAATTAAACAAAAAAATGTGTTGTACTTGGCTGGGCATGGTGGCTCCTACCTGTAATCCCAGTGCTTTGGGAGGCCAAGCTGGGAGGATTGCTTAAGCCGAGGAGTTTGAGGCTGCAGTGAGCTATGATCCAGACACTGCACTCCAACCTGGGCAACAGAGCGAGACCCTGTCTCTAAAAGTTAAAAAAAAAAAGTGTTGTGCTCAAATGAATTAAATTTTATATGTAGAATAACAGCTCTGACGCTGTGGTTGTCCCTGAGGTTAATAGGAAGGTTAGGATTTGTGGCTGGGCACGGTGGCTCATGCCTGTAATCCCAGTACTTTGGGAGGCCGAGGTGGGCGGATCATGAGGTCAGGAGATCGAGACCATCCTGGCTAACACGGTGAAACCCCGTCTCTACTAAAAATACAAAAAATTAGCCGGGTGTGGTGGCGGGCGCCTGTAGTCTCAGCTACTCGGGAGGCTGAAGCAGGAGAATGGCGTGAACCTAGGAGGTGGAGGTTGCGGTGAGCCGAGATTGCGCCACTGCACTCCAGCCTGGGCGACTGAGCAAGACTCCATCTCAAAAAAAAAAAAAAAAAAAGGTTAAGATTTGCAGAGAAAAGATAAGACATGCAAAGTATTGACTTCTCAAATCTCAAGGCTTGTTCAGCGTCTCACTTTCATCTACTAAATTAATTTTTCTTGTGCAAAATCCACTCAGCAGTCTAAGTAAGGAAAAGTAAGCAAAAAATGAAGGAATGAAATATAGGGCAAACCTCTAACTTAAAATCAACAGCTGTAGGAGGACTTGCATTTTTATAAGATGTTTCAATCTTTAGAAATTCATAAAAGCAAAGAATGTATACTCAATAAATGATTGTTACTTGACAGATGGGAATAACAGCCAATATTAATGATGGTCTCTGAACTGAGAAATATCCATAATTTTCATGGATCGATAAATACGTTAAACTTTATTATCTTTGGGTCGTAGGGATGAAATCTTACAGGTTTTATATAACTATCATAAATGTTTTATAGACTACTGATCAGTAAGACTCAGCCAGAGGGGTGTATTAAGAATGGGAATGTGAGAACCAAGAGGTCAGCAGGACAGAGAGGCACAGCCTCTTCACAAGTCAGAGAAGATAAACATTTCAGACAAGATGCCATGGTTGAAAACTGAAGAGGTAAGGTCCTCATGCAAACACAGAGGAGATATGAAAAGATCATTGTCCTTACAGAATCTAGGAATGAGAGAATATCACCTCATCGTATAATGAAAATAACATCTGAGGTATTACACCAGCATGTTTACTGAGCACTTGCTAAGTGCCAGGCATTGAGCTCAGCACTGTACATGTATTGTCTCATTGAATTCTTAGTGCAAGTCCATGGCATGTGTACTGTTACTGTTCCCATATTAAATATAAGGAAACTGAGGCTTGAGAACATAAGTAACTTGTCCAAATTAACAGAGTCAGTATACAGTAGATCTTAAATTCAAACCCAGGTCTGTCAAGTTCACGTTCTTATACCCTATAGATACCAAGACTCCCCGATTGGACTAGTTTCTAATGGACACATCAGGATAGGGCAATCATATAATTATCATCAGTAAAATGGTTTGAATCGTATGTCATACCTTTGGACCACTTGTCTTTCCTCCCCCCTTCCCTTTTTTTTCCTCTTTAATCAGGTTAAATCTATACCTCTCCTATGTCCTAGGCATCCTCTTTTCTCTCTAGTCAGGTTAAATCTTGTTAAGCCTCTCCTATGTTCTAGGCATCCTCTTTTTTCAAGATGATAATATATTATAGGAGAATAAAGACTTCAACTATAATTCTGTGAGCTGAGTACTATGCCAGTGCTAACCAAAGTGAATTACGGGAACTAACAGAATGGACACAGAGTTTAGTGTACTTGTGCTTAGAAGATAAAAGACCTCAAATTATTCTTGTTCATTTTAGTTTCACATATGTTTCAAGGTTATCAGTTATTCTGGCTATTAGAGAAACGGGTGGGAGGAGGAAGGTTTTATGCGATCTTAATTTTTAAAATATTAAGTACCAGTACCTATTATTTTCTAAATACTTTCAAGGGCATTTTCCTAGAATCAGGTAAATGAGAGAAGGCAAGTGACCTACTTACAGCAAAAATTGCTCTAGGTTATAAAGGATGGGAAGCCAAGTGCATCCTGAAAACCACAGCATCTGGTCTTGTTTTATGCCTCATCTATCAATCTGTTGTTACAGGAATTGAGAATTAACATTTCAACTATTGTTTCTTCTATTTTAACTAATGCATTTGTATCTTTGTTATTCTTACTCAATCTTTCCCACCTCCTCCCCATTTAAGAAACCATAGGCAGGGGCATTATGAAGGTCCCAATTTAATCCTAGGGGGATCACTCTTTCATCTACGCCTTAAAACTTCTGCTAATGAGGCTACAGTAGGGTTAGACATCTGAAGCAATTCTGGTTTTGTTCAATCCTGATTTTTCACAGATAGTATCATTTGAACAGTACTGTATTAAAGCTAAATAAAATATTGTAGGTTGTAAATTTCCAAGTTCTAGAAAACATTTTTTGGTAGAAGTTTTTAAAAAGTACACTTGGCAATGCTGCTTGAGAAAAAGGTTACGTAGAAATGCAGATTGTGGATTAGTATTACCCTGATAACACAAGAAAATTATATATAACTTCTTTTTATATACACTCATTTAAAATTATGTGTAAAGTTTAAAAACATAAAACCATGGAAAGTAGATTTACAGCAATATGTTCTTTGAACTTTGCTGTTGTCTTTTTTTTTTTTTAGTTCTCTTCTTTTTACAGAATGGAGTTATCAATTCATCTTTCTACTTCTTCCAATCTTTTGAAATTTTAAATTTCCATTATTTTTTCCTTGATTCTATCTTATTCTTTCTTATTTTTATTTTTTAGTTTAGCTTTTTTTTCATTTTTTAAAAAAGTTTATGGGTACATAGTAGGTGTGTGTATCTATGGATTACATGATATATGCTGATACAGGCATACAATGTGTTATAATCACATCAGGGTAAATGAGGTATCCATTACCTCAAGCATTTATCATTTCTTTGTTACAGACATTCCAATTATACTCTTTTAGTTATTTAAAAATGCACAATAAATTACTGTTGACTGTAGTCACCTTGCTGTGTTGTCAAATACTAGATCTTATTTTTTCTATCTAACTGTATTTTTGTACCCATTACCATTCTCACTTCCCTCCTACCCCCCACCACTATTCTTCCCAGCCTCTGATAACCATCATTCTACCCTCTATCTCCATGAGTTCAACTGTTTTAATTTTTAGCTCCCACAAATGAGTGAGAACATGCAAAGTTTGTCTTTCTGTGCCTGGCTTATTTCACTCAACATAATGTCCTACAGTTCTGTCCATGTTGTTGCAAATGACAGGATCTCATTTTTTTAAATGGCTGAATAGTACTCCATTGTGTTCTATATTATCTTTCTATTGGAGCTTCAAGTACAGCTTCAGGTATAGCTTCATATTCTTGCTTTACTTTTCTTTCTCCATCCATTCTACTTAATTTACCTTGTCAAAATAATGGTTCATATGATTCAGAAGACATGATTTAAAAAATTAAAAAATAATGATTGAAATTATCCTTTTATGATATTTTTAAAAGAACAAAGGTAACCAAGTGAATTATACTGGCATAATTACTGTTATATAATTTTACCTATTTGTTGAAGTTCTATTCTTTCTAAATCATTGTCAAGTGAATTACTTCTAATGAGCAATGAATAGAGTCAGGTTTACTGTGTTTACTTATTCAAAGATTTCAGATTTGTTTTTCCTTCCAAAGGCGTTCTATCCTGAATCTCATCATGAGGCTTCCTTGCCTTGATTTCTTGATGTATTCCAGCTGGGTTAATGGTTCAGCTGACCAGATAGGCCTTTTAGGCTAAGGTAGTAGAGATTTTTGCAAAAATACATCTACAGTCTTCATTCACTAGGGCAGAATTTCTCAAAATAGAGTCCAAAACTACCTATATCCCAATCAGCTCAGATGTTTGTTTACTGATTTACTGATAGGCTTAAACAACAGAAATTTATTTCTCCCAGTTCTGGAGGGTGGGAAATCCAATATACTGGCATATACTCTGTCTGGTGAGGGTATCCTTCCTGGCTTGCAGACAGACACCTTCCTGCATCCTCACATGGCGGAGAGCCCAGATGCTTACTGTAAAATGCAGATTTCTAGGCCAAAACCTACAGTAGTTGAACGGGAGTCTCTGAAGACTGGGAGCCAGGAATCTGCATTTTGCCAAGTTGTCCAAGTTAATCTATATACAGTGAAATTTGAGAACACCTAATTTTTTTTTTTGAGATGGAATCTCACTCTGTTGTCCAGGCTGGAGTGCAGTGGCATGATCTTGGCTCACTGCAACCTCTGCCTCCTGGATTCAAGTGATTCTCCTGCCTCAGCCTCCCAAGTAACTGGGATTACAGGTGCCCGCCACCACACCCAGCTAATTTTTGTATTTTTTTTTAGTAGAAACAAGGTTTCACCATGTTGGCCAGGCTGGTCTTGAACTCCTCACCTCAGGTGATCCACCTGCCTCGGCCTCCCAAAGTGCTGGGATTACAAGCGTGAGCCACTGCGCCCAGCCAAGAACACCTAATTTAAGGAATCCTTTCTTCCCACCAGGTGTCTAGTGCATTAACCTTGATTGCAGAGCAAACTAGCTACACTCCATTTAATAACAAAAGTGGAAAATTCAGCACCTTGGAGGAGAACTGCCATAACTATTTTAAGAGTTACTGATACAGAAAACACACACACACAAAACCCAAAAACTTTCTAGAATAAAGTAATAATTCTTTTTAATATCTTGATTCTAACAAAGAGCAAAGGCCCAGAAAGTCTACAGTCTGCTCTAATTTCCTGATTAATATTATATATATTGAATTATTTATTGAGCCCCTACTGTGGGCCAAATATGGTATTTTGTGTTGCCAGGGATTATATAAAGCTATCCTGGAATGAAAAGCATATGTTCACTCTGCTGTATTCTGGAAGAATCTCATTGATTTGATGATTGCTGAAAATGAATGTACTTGATGTCTTAGGCCCAGACATGGAAGGTTTCTTACGGATTTGCTAAATGAAAATATTAGGTCCAAAACATATAGGTGTAGGCATTTGGTTTCCAGTGGCTGAACCACTGGAAAGGGAGTGAGGTGTAGCACTTTTCGAGCTTGTAGACTCTTTATGGTCAGCCTCGTGACTTTATTCAACAGTTTCCCTTCCTGTGCAATCATCCCTCAAATATTAGGCAGATGAATTGAGACTAGATGTAACCATACTGGGAACTCCATTTCATTGTAGGATTCATTTAGGATGTCTCTAGTAGAGTGACTCATGATTTGCCTGAGACTTTGTCAGCCAGTTTTATATCCCAGCAAACCTTTTAGTCTCATGCAAACTGAAACTGGGTAGGCTGGTCACCCTGGTCCTTAGAAGAGGGCAGGTGAGGCTCTTAGTTGAACCAATTTCACTCAGTAAATGAATGAAAATCCATTACTATCTTGAATTTCTCAGCTCATTTTCCTTACCAGTGGATATAATTACCCTATTGGGGCACAAAACCTGTTTCTTGCCTTTAGTGACCCTCCCCCTTTTAGCCCTGCCAAACCATGTGTCCATGAGCCTCCCAAGCAATGATTCAGCTTGGGATCATCCAAGGACCCAGTGGAGAGTCTCTTGAAAGTCTGCTGAGCACTGATAGCCTCTGTTTTTTGTTGTTGTTGTTGTTGTTTGTTTTTAATGAACATTGTCCTCGTCTCATAATCTTTCCGTTCTTCTCAAAGGTCTATCTCTCTAAATAGTCTAGTAATCCCAAACCTAGCTTCACATCCATTTTTTTTTTAAATTAGGAATGTAGGCATGCACGTATATAAAGCCTTAAATACTAAACAGGCACGGGTGTATTCAATTCCATTCTGATTCCTGTCCATGAACTTAATCATAGTTTTCAACATTCATGCATCCCTTTCATCCCATCCTTTAAAGCCTTGTGATTTTGGCATTTCATGGTCTTACTTTCAACTAGATTTTAAAGTTTAGCTGGTATTAAATTACCATCTCAAAGAGAAAACGTAAAGTACAAGGTATGAATTAGACAGACCTATGTTCCAATGAAATTGTTGCCTTTATTTCCCAAGTATATGAACTTAGAAAAGTTTCTCTAAGGTTTAAGCTTTAAAATTTGCTCATTTGTAAAAACGGAGAAAATGATAGCTATTTTAGAGGATTTTGGGGGAGATATTTAGGTTATGCATGTAAAGCACATAGAAGCTTATTGCCCCACCCCAGCAGACATTAACTAGGTATTATCTTCACCACATTATTACAAGTTTGTAACTAGTAACATTCGTTAACAATCAGGCTGCAAAATTGTTATTATTATTGAGACAGGGGCTTGCTCTGTCGCCCAGGCTGGAGTGGAGTGGCTTGATCACTGCAGCCGTGATCTCCCACGCTCAAGCGATTCTCCCACCTCAGCCTCCCAAGTAGCTGGGACTACAGACATGCGCCACCAAATCCAGCTAATTTTTAGGTGGTTTTTTTTTTTTTTTTTTTTTTTTTTTTGTAGAGACGATTTCTCATTATGTTGTCCAGGCTGGTCTCGAATTCCTGACCTCAAGTGATCCTCTCGCTTCGGCCTCCCAAAGTGTTGGGATTACAGGCGTAAGCCACCGCGCTGGCCAAGCTGCAGAATTCTTTAGCCATCAAAGATGATGCCTCAAGTAGAAAGGCACAAGCTGCCTTCCTGAGGAACACAGGGAGAACTCTCATTACATCATAGTCTCACCGACTCTGTCTGAAGGAAGTGATGCTTCTCGTATCTCAGGAGTGTCTAATGTCATCTGGCCCACCGGCAGTTTGTGTATTCAGGAGGCTCTGGCTTTCAGGTTTGCTCCCTTGGGACCTCTTGTGTCACGTCGCTCGTTCTGGAAAGGAAAAGGGGTGAAAGAAAAAGGGAAATCACCAAAATGCAAAATCTGTTACCAGATGCCCTATTCCGTCCTAACTACCGAGTCTGGTGGCGTGGGCTGCTAAATCTTTTCGCGGAAAGATTGTCAGGCGCCACCCCGAGGTGTTTGTCAGCACAGAGATGGGGGAGAAGGGTGAGCTCACCCGAGAATTGAAAGGCAGGTGGTGAGGGATGAGGGGTGAGGAGTGGAGGGTGGCCATAAGCTTCTGCGTTTTGGCTAAAGTACAGACACAAAGCCGCGGCGTGAGGGTTTGCACAGAGTGGTGGGAAGGAGAGAATGTATTTGCTGGGTACGCAGAGCATTTCTGCACTCTCAAGAAGGCTGCCCGATTTGTCAGGGTTGCGCCCCGAGCCCGCGAGAAGGGCAGGGACTTTTTGTGATAAGCGCCTTCCCAAAGGTAGTGTCTGTTAAACGCAGAGCCTTAGCGAGTGCTGCTCGCAGACACGCCGGCTTCGCAGAAAGTCTCAGTCTAGCAGGTAGCTTAAGCAGACATCAGGTGCGCGAATTTGCTCTCCCTCACTGTTTCTAAGCCTGGGAGCACGCCCCCTCCGCGCCGGCGACCGCGGGTCGCGCATGCTCCGTGGGAGGGAGTGCGCCGCGCCTCCCGCCGGAAGCGTTCTCTCCCAGGTTGCGTTTCCTTCCTGTGTGAGGCCGGCTGAGGGCACTTGCTCTTGCTGTTTCTGCCCCTGGGTGAGTAGCTGGTTCCCGTGGGGCCTCATGGGATGGTTGTCGTATCCTTCTGAGGTCCTTTAAGGACCGTCTCGGACCTGGGAACCCCCGGAGGAAAGGTCACCCCGGTCTTCTCCCACGCCCTACCTCAGTGCCGCCCCCAAGCGCCCCGCAGCCCTTAGTATCTAGAGGATTAACCTCCAAGGGCGTCCCGGGCCTCGCCTTGGCGTCCGGCCCGGCCTGGGCCCTTAGGGTCTGCTTAGCTCTTCCCCAAGACTCGTGCCATTCCCGAGGGAATCTTTGTCGGCATCCTGGTCACTGTGGGGGTTTGAGGTCGTCCCGGAAGACTTCAGAACCAGGCGAACCTAGACGAAGGCGGCTGGAATGAACCAGGTCTGATTGTCGCACAGGCGCGGCCACCACCTTGTGCAAAATCGAAGGTGGTTCTTCAGGGCCGGGCACGCTTTCACAAAAGATGGTGATGTTAATAATAACCTGCCCTCTTTGTGAAGATTGGCAGGCCTTCATTGTCATAGGCTGTATTCGTAGGGCCTTTATGCCTGCAAAACTGGGACTTTTGAGTTTGAGAAACGATTTGTGAAATACTGCAATGAATTAGGAGAGAAATACTACAGTGAATGCTATGCTATGAATGCTATACATGTCAATAAATTGCTCATAGATGAGGTAGTACGATTTCACGGTTTTCCACTCGGAAATGGAGAACTTAAAATGAAACGACCTGATACCATATTTGCCTAACAAATAACTCTAGGTTATAGTGTTTTAGGATGTTTCTTAGTTGCATACAGCACTATCATCGTATATGTACATATTTGTGTATTCATTTTGTTGAACCTAATGTTTATACAGGATTGAAATACGCTCCCTGCTGTTGTATGCGCATGCAGCTTTTATTGTATGTTCGCTGGTGATGGTATTGCTGCTGTAACAGCCTTACATTTTAGGTATATCAATACCAAATGAATGATACATGAGTGTACAATAAAGTATATATAGTTACAGTCTACAAAACAAGTTTCAGTTTCATTGAAGGATTTTGAAGTAATTTAAAAAGGTAGACTACTATTTTACAAGTGGCCTTAGTAGACCTAAGTCTTTATTACATTAAAAATTTCAGAATTGGGAAGGATATAAACGGGTTTTGTGTGTTGACCTTTTATGGGATTAAAAGTTGTTACTATCTTGATGACTGGGATGTGTTCATAACAGCCCTAATTTGTTCATGTAGTTCAATGAATATCCAGTAGATGACTTGGTTGGTAGTTTTATCACTACCAACTCTAAAACGAAAACGTTTTACTGGAATGCCACCGCTTTTCACAGATTAGGTTAATAAAACCCTTATCTTGTCTAAATTATTTTCCTCTGTGAGTATACCCCACGTAGTGATATAACACGTTTCAACTGCATTTTCAACTTTGTGGAATAAAGACTAGAAAAGTCAGTTTTTTACTTCCTATGAGAAGTGAAATATTGTGTAACCCGTTTTTTTTGGAATCCATGCTGATGGAAGATAGCACACTTTGGTTTGTTCCATGAAGAGAGATTTCAGTTAGGTGCCTTCTCCTTTTTGGCTTCTTTTGCTTTCTTTATAATTAATATAATAGCCGGACAGTGTGTTCTTTGAATGAAGTGGTGATATCTTAACAATTATTGTATATCCAATATATAGTGGGCGTCATATATAGATGTTCAGTAAATGCAAATTGAATGAATTAAATCATTTACCATCCCTAGGCCAAAGTTTCTTCCTCCAAAATGAAGGCTTTCAATTATTTAGTTGTTAAGTTTAAATTAAATCTAATTATTGTGAAGTGAATGGCTCCTAGTGGAGAAATGTGGAACCTTTTGGAAATCCTTCAGAAGTGACTGTTGCAATGATTGAATGGGAGATTTCCTTCAGTTACAATTTATCTGTTGAACATAATTTTTGAATAGCCTCTGTTTTGTGTGTGGCAATTATAAACGTCTGTTTTGTGTGTGACAGTTATAAAGGTAGATAAGATATACATCTTGTTTATAAGGATTTAAACTCTAGTCGAGTAGATATCTCAAAAGCAAGACTTTTTTAAGATAGTGTAATAGGGCGAAATGAATAATACGAAGATTCATGTGATTTGAAAGGCTTTATGGAGCAAATAAAGTTGATTTTTGAAGTTAGGATAGAATTTGACTAATCCTAGGTGAATGAGGGTAAATGGCCCATGCAGGATACTAGACAGATACGCTGAAGGGAAAATATATGTGGGATTTTCAGATGGTAGTGACTCCAGCTATTTATAGAGTCCCTTTGAAAAGAGGTGAAAGAGAAAATGCTTACAATTGACTCTGGAGCTAGATTCTAGATTAGAATAGTTTTGAATGCTTGGGAAACGTATAAAGGAAATACTTTGGGGTCTTTTGATTAGAGAGAAGGAGTATATATCCTTGAGTGGAGGTGAGGGGTATAAAAGGAAATAAAAAATTTTTGGAGCTATTCTAGAGGGAGGAAGGTGAAGAGGCTCTTTAATTTAGTAGTAGTGAGAGGAGAATTTTAGAGCTGGAAGGACCATGGATATTAATCTTTGCAGTACCTAACTTTTATCTGCTGAGCCATACAAATTCTGTTTTTTTTCATGTTTATGTAAGTACAAATATATATTCTCTTTTTCTTATATATCCCATAGCATTCAGCACACTCCTGTGCTGAGAGTATAATGGCAGTATTTGAAGCTAAGATCCTATCTCCCAAAATGTGATAGTCATATCATCCCTAACAAGCTTATTCTTCCGGGTAGTTATTGCCATTGACAGAGGAGTGTATGTCTTCTGTAAGCCTAGCTTTGATTGATGTAGCTGTTCAGGGATATATGCAAAAATAGGCACATTTATCTCATTTTTTTTCTCTTTAGCTTGGGTGAGTGCTGTATTCTTGTAGTAGTTGTCTCAGTTCAAGATTTTTCCAAGTTCTATTGCTTCCTACTTAGCCCGGTTGTTGGGAACAATAGTGTGGCTCAAAAAAGTTAATACCACTTATTACTGAGGAAATGGCATGTTTAAATTTAAGCAGGCCTTGAAAACCTTTAAAAGTATGTATGAGGAAAAAGTGAGTCAGTTCACAATTTGAATTTCACTCAAAAATTACCTGGTATATGATACAGTTAATAGAAGAAATTCTTACCGTCACATTAGTATTGTTGGGCTGCCTTTCTTCAGTTGGATTAGTGTTATAGTTGATACTTTCCTAGACTCTGAAATAGTTCTTTAAAGCTGTTTTGAGTAAATACCTTAAGATATTTACTGTATTTTTCAAATAAAATGATTAATTCTACTACCAAATAAATCTTAATTTCTAGTCTACTTCTAGTTTGCAAGAGGAGCTTTAAATGTATTTGTTTACTTAACATTTAAAAATCCATTTCTCCTTAAAATGAAACACTTTTTTTAAGGTAGGTAATATTTTAATTTGACTAGAAGTTAGTTTTTCTTTCTTAGTTTAAGCTACTTTGTTAGTCTTACAATTTTAATAAGTATAGTTATTACCTAGTGACATTTCTGTTTGTTTTTTTAAGGTTAACATTCAAGATGGTACATGCTGAAGCCTTTTCTCGTCCTTTGAGTCGGAATGAAGTTGTTGGTTTAATTTTCCGTTTGACAATATTTGGTGCAGTGACATACTTTACTATCAAATGGATGGTAGATGCAATTGATCCAACCAGAAAGCAAAAAGTAGAAGCTCAGAAACAGGTATGATTGAAATGTTTGAAGATCATTTTTCTTGTGGCTAACAAGTATTTTCCCCTCAAACTAAAAATTTGGTAGAGTTCACAAATTAATGAGAAATTCTATAAGACCCACATGAAAATGTATTGGTACTCATAGTTTTATTACTCTTACAAAGTACTAGTTTATTATGACATTATTTCAAGTCATTTTTTACTATATAAACAACTTATCAGAAGAAAAATGAATAAACAATAAAATATTGTGAACATCTTCATTAGAATATTTTTGTCAGCTTTGGAGGTAGGATCTAGATAAAAGTTTTTAGGCTAACCCAAAATATTTATCTTCAGTAATGATATGCCTTTTGCTGTGTATGACATCTGAAATGTGGATAATACTGAAACGCTCTCAGTCTTAAACTTATAAGCTACACTAAAATCTAATTAATGAATTGCTGTAAAAGTTGTTGATTATTAATATAAGCTGTAGTTTTTAACTTTTTATCTGCTGCCTCTTGTGTTCATTTCCTTTTAAAGGTGATTGGTTTCTGTTTGTCATCAAAACATAAAAACCTTAAAGGAGTCTTACAGATTTTTTGTGCTGTTAGGTGGCTTTTCCCTTCTGGCTCTTTTTTTTTAAACAATAATTAATAACTAAAATATTTATGTCTTATTGAATATCTTATGGTATAATAACATAATTTATCTTAAAATAATTAAATAGGATATTCATGGATTTTTAGATCTGTCTTGTGAGTTGTGACAGATTTATTCAATAAACATTTATTGAGTCCCTATCAACTACTTGGTACCAAAGAAAAAAGATGAATAAATCTTGTTCTTTCAAAATGCTATAGGCTATTGTGGGAAATAGGGATGTAAATAAATGACTGTTTTACAATGTTAGCCCTTAAATCAGTAAAAAGTGAAAACCACAATTTTATAAACACTGCAATAAGTATATATCTGAAAGGCACTTTGGAGAATTCTGAACTTTTTCCTTGAATTTTATTATAAAATAGTTGACTGAAGTTCTAGATGATATTATCAGCCTATTTGTAAGTCTCTGGGAAGTCTGACCAGGGTAGATTTAAAAAAAAAAAAAAAGAAAAACTAGTTTGAGTATATCCATATGTCAACCTAAGTGTTGGGTTTTTTTCTCCCACCTGAATCATGAAAGTCAGTTTAAGTATGATGTCAAAATATTATAAGTTACATCGTTTCAGCATTTTAAAAAGCAGAGGTGTGACTTTTAAAGATAATTTTGTCTTTTTTTCCCCTTGGCTTCTAAGAACTCCTGAATACACATATAGAAGACATACAGAAAGCTAAATATAGATGCTAAGTACTACAAGCCTTCATTGAAAATTATGTGTATAGTATTATTCTAAATATTAGGTATATGAAACATTAGATATTATGTCCTTCATAGTGCCCATGATAGGGAGAAAAGACTTGTTCATGATAATATAAATTATAATAGTAAGTAGCATATCCCAGTTGCTTATTGAGTAGTGTAGACAGAAACTGTGGCTCTTAGAGAAAATAGTAGTCACCAGTGATTGTGGTAGTTGAAGATGGCTTCATGAAAGAGCTTGGCCTCTAGGGTAGGCAAGGACAGTTTTAAATAGAATGCATTACTTTTTCCTTCTTTGGTCCTTTTTGTTTTGTTGGGTGGACTGAGGCTGATAAAAAATACACAGCATTTTAGAATCCATCATCAACTGAAAAGGAGGGATACTTTTTGCTTCTAGCATTATCCCATTCCACAGTAATTTACCAGTGTTTAAAACACTCAGGATGAAATGGGATTTGCTTGGCCAACGGCTATAGCTTCTTGGTTACCCCTCCTCTTCTCTTCCCTACATCTCTGACCAGCTGTTAAACATGCTGTTGACTGGCCATGTGGTGGCTCACGCCTATAATCCCAGCACTTTGGGAGGCCGAGACAGGCAGATCACTTGAGGTCAGGAGTTGGAGATCAGCCTGGCCAACATGGTGAAACCCCATCTCTAATAAAAATACAAAACATTAGCCGGACGTAGTGGTGCACACCCAGCTACTCGGGAGGTTGAGAATTGCTTGAACCCGGGAGGCAGAGGTTGCAGTGAGCCAAGATCACACCCCTGCACTCCAGCCTGGGCAACAGAGAGAGACTCCATCTCAAAAATAAATAAATAAATAAATATGCTGTTGACCAATTGAAGACTTCTGTAGGCTTAACTCATTAAATATATTTGAATGGGTGGGTGATATACAATGTTTTAAGGATAATTCACCTTATAGTAGTATGCAGAAGGAATAGGAGTCAAGAGGTACTAGAAGCAAGATCTGTTGGTGATAGACTGCAACAGTCCTGGCAAAGACTTAGAATAAGAGGGTGACAAAAGGAATGACTTGAGTGAAATAGACTAACACAAATGAATGCAGGAAGGACTTTGTGATGATGTGGGAAAAGAAAAAGGACATCTTAAAATCTTAAAAACGAACCAAAGATTTGTCTGGATACCTCAAAGACTTATAATATCTTTTATAGAGGTTTGGAAACTGGTAGGTAGGGCAAATTTATGAGAAGATGACATTTGATCTGGCCATGTTGGGTTTGTGTTGGTGGTAGGAATTCAGGAGGAAATGTTCATATAGCAATTGAAGTTGCAGGTCTGAATCTCAGAAAAAAGGTCAATCCAGAGGTATATTTCCTTATCGATGGTTATAAGTAGTTGAAGTCGTTAGAACAGTGAGTAGGCCATATGGTTATTCCTGTATGTGTAGATATCATTTGTAGAACTTTTCCCAAATTATTCCCCATCTCCCCTCACCACCATCAAGATTTATACATATATTTGTTGAGAAATTCTAATGTAATTGTCACTGTAATAAATGGTAATGACTATACTAAGAGTGATGAAGTCTCCAAAAGAGGTGGTGTAATGCAGCATAATTGGTAAGCTGAAGCGTAAGCCTTGATACATTTCCTTTATTTAGGGTATAGAAAGATGATGTGCAGCCAGTGAAGAATGAATAGGTCAGTATGGGTAACAAGACTGACTCCTGCTGAAAACAGCTAAAGAAGCTTGATAATTTTTTAAAAATCTTGTTTTATTTATTTATTTATTTATTTATTTTTGAGTTGGAGTCTTGCTGTGTTGCACAGGCTGGAGTGCAGTGGTACAATCTCAGCTCGCTGTACCCTGCTTCTTCCGGGTTCAAGTGATTCTCCTGCCTCAGCCTCCGGAGTAGCTGGGATTACAGAAGTGTGCAACCACACGTGGCTAATTTTTGTAGTTTTAGTAGAGACGGGGTTTCACCATGTTGACCAGGCTGGTCTTGAACTCCTGACCTCAAGTGATCTGCCCGCTTTGGCCTCCCAAAGTGCTGAGATTACAGGTGTGGGCCACTGTGTCTGGCCTAAAAATCTTAAAGGCATTCATGAGCTATCAACAAAGTAAAGAATGCAGGTTAAAAACTTAAGGCAAAAATTTCAGAAAGCTAAGGTGAGCTTGATTGCCAGCCTTTACCTTGAGAGAATTTGCTGAATTCTGTTTTTATGATTTCAGAGGGGCTCAGTATACAAAACATAGGGCCAATCTAAAGTAGGTAGTTTCATAGATGATACTCCTATAAATCTAGAACCCCAAAAGGCTATCTGTAGTATTTCAACTAAAGATAAAGACACAGTGTTTTAAAGATGAATAGTTTAAAGAGAGAAATTTAAGCCATATGCTGGGTGAAGTAACACATCTAAAATATAGATTCAGAAAGGTTGAAAGTAAAAAGATGGAAATGTATATACCACACAAATATAAGAAGAAAACTGGCTGGGCAAAAAGAAATTGTAAGGCAAAGATATTGGAGAAAATGTTTGCTACATAAATGATGAAAGATTCAATTCACCAATAAATATAACATTTCTATTTGTGTGTAACTATTGATGTAGCCTGAAAATACATAAAGCAAAAATATGATATAACTACAGGGAAAAATGGACATCTCCATCAACATGGTGAGAGACTTTTAACACCTAATAATTGTTCAGATTTTTTAAAAATTAAGGATATAGAAGATTTAAATAAAAAATGGACATGTATAGTATATTGTGCCAAAATAAATGCAAAATACATATCTGAAGCACATATGATTTGTGAAAATAAACCGAATACTAGATAATAAAGCAAATCTCAAGTTTCATAATATTGGTAGCGTATTTATTAACATTTCCTGGCTATAGTGCAGTACAGTAGAGATCATTAGAAAAATAAGTTTGGAAAGTATGAAATATTTTAAAATGACTCCTGGGTAAAAGAAAGCACATAATAATGAAATGAATGGAAATAATAACATAAGTTAATGAAATAGAAAGTGAATATACAGTAGAGAAAAATCAATAAAACCCAAAATTGTTTTTTTGAAAAGACATAAAATCAAGACTTTTCAAACCGACAAGAAAAAAGTTACCAATAAAATACTACCTGGAACAAAAAAGGCCTAATATTGCTGTAGATATTAAAAACAAGGGCCGGGCACGGTGGCTTACACCTGTAATCCTAGCACTTTGAGAGTCTGAGGCAGGTAGATCACCTGAGGTCAGGAGTTTGAGACCAGCCTGGCCAACATTGTGAAACCCTGTCTCTACTAAAAATACAAAATTAGCCGGGCGTGGTGGCATGTTCCTGTAGTCGCAGATACTCAGGAGGAGAATCGCTTGAATCCAGGAGGCGGGGGTTACAATGAGCCGAGATTGCGCCATTGCACTCCAGCCTGGGCAACAAGAGAGAAACTCCATCTCAAAATAAATAAATAAATAAATAAATAAATAAAATTAATAAATAAAAAAAATTAGGACTGTTCATAACTATAGTGGGCCCTTGAACAACAAACAACGTGTTTAAACTGCATAGGTCCACTCATAAGCAGATTTTTTTTTTTTTAATGAAAGTTCAATTGAGTGTGCCCGTCTCTCCTGCCACTCCTTCCACCTTCACCTCTTTTACCTCTGCCAACCTGAGACAGAAAGACCAACCTCTCTTCCTCACGCTACTCAACATGAAGATGATGAGGATGAAGTTAATATATTTCCCTTTATGATTTTTTAAATAACATGCTTTCTCTAGGTTACTTTATTGCAAGAATACAGTATACAAACTATGTTATTAACTGTTTCTGTTAGTGATAAGGTCAACAGTAGGCTATTTTAGTAGTTCAGTTTGAGGGGAGTCAAAAGTTCTCTATGGATTTTTGAGTGTGTTGGGGTCAGTATCCCAATCCCTGTATTGTGTAAGGGTCAACTGTTACGTCGATAAATTTGAGAACTTAGGTATGGGTAAACCCTTAGAAAAATATGCATTTCTAAAACTGACTTAAGAAGAAATAGAATACATGGTTAGTTCCATAACTATGAAATAAGTTAATAGTGAAAATATCTTTTTATAAAGAAAACTTCAGGCCCATAGAACTTTATAGCAAATTCTGCCAGTATTTAAGGAACAAATTAATAATAACCAATTTATGCAAATTCTTCTAGAATATAGGAAACGAGGGAACACTTCCAAACCTTTTTGTGAGGCTAGCATAACTACAGTTCTAAAACCTATAGTAGTCTGTAATTTCTCTCTCTCCCTTCTAAATTGGTATAAGAATCTTAAATGTCAGCAAGTTAAATTCAGCAATATAGAAAAAATATAATGCGACCAGTTGGATTTATCCCAGGAGTTTAAGCCTGGCTTCATTTAAGGGATGGGAAATCAATATAATATGCAACATTAACAGATTAAAGAATAAAACCTGTATGATTCTCCCAATAAATGCAGAAAAGGCCTTAAGCATTCATTCATGGTTTTAGAAAAGCTTTTAATAAAATGGGAACAGAAGATAGTGTTCTTTTTGTTTTGTTTTGTTTTTTGTGTTTTCTTTTAGACGGAGCCTTGCTCTGTTGCCCAGGCTGGAGTGCAGTGGCATGATTTTGGCTCACTGCAACCTCTGCCTCCCGGCTTCAGGCGATCTTTAACTTGATAAAATGCATTTACTAAAACAAATGTATTTTATAGTGAAGAATTGGAAACATTCTCTTTATGATTAGGAGCAAGCCTGTTGTCTTTCATTACTTTTCATTACTTTTTTTTTTTTTTTGGCTTTTCTTTGTTTACTTTGTTTACTTCTTTGTTTACTTTTACTTCTGTTTAACATTTTACTGAGTTACTAGCCACTGCCTAAGTCAAAAAGGTGGGGATTGGAAAAGAAGAAACTAAATAGTCATTATTAATGGATAATATGATAATCTACATAGAAAGCCAAAGAATGTTTACAAGCTATCAGGATTCATGAGAGTTTGATGGGTTTGCTGGATTTAAAATCAGTATACGAAAATCAGCTGTTTCTGTATACCCATCATGTTTTAAAATGTCATTTAAAAAAAGCATTATATAGTAGCATCAAAAATATAAAACAACGGACAAACATAAGACATACAACACATTCATAGAGAAAATTATAAAACTATTGAAAGTTTAGTTAAATTCAACATCAGTACAAAAATACTGGCAGATTTTCGTTTTGTTGTATTTTTTCCTGAAATTCATGTGGAAGAACAAAAGTCTATAAATAGGGAAGGCAATCCTAAAACACAAAGTTTTATTTAACTACTTTGGGTCTTGAGTTTTCTTATCTGTAAAAGAAATAATAATAGCACTTACCTTGTTGGGTTGCTATTGAAATTAAATATATAATGTAAAATATAACAGTGCTGCATAAGTGTTTCCTATTATTTTTATAACTTAAAAGATTTGTACTGAGGACATATATAGAATGCATCTGAATCAGTAAGAAAAAATAATAGAAAAATGGGCAAAGAAACTTAAATAGACACATTAAAAAAGAAAAATCTCCAGTGGTCAATAAACATATGAAAAGATGCACAAACTGATTAGAAATCAAGGAAATGCAAATTAAAGTCAAATTGATATACCTTTTCACCCCTGCCAGGTTGTAAAGTTTTAAGTCTGTCAATAACGTGCTGGAGAGAATGTGGAACAGTAGGAACAAAAGTATTGCTGTTGGGAATATAAATTAGTATAACTATTTTGGAAGATAGTTTGGCATTATCTAGTAAAGTTGAAAATGTGCATAGTCAGTGATCCACAAGTTTCATTCTGGGCATATAGCGAAGAACCAGGAGATACATACAAGAGTGCTCATAGCAGCCCTGCTTGTAATGGAAAAAAGCAGGAACCAATCTGAATATTTGTATAAATGTTGGTATATGCACATATAGGAGAGGAAAAACACTTTTCCTTCTACCGTTCTGAATTCTCATTTGGGCCTCTATAACAAAAGATAGATAAACAAGAGAAAAACAAACAAGTTTATTAACATGTATCAAGCATGCAACCAATAGGAGTACCAGAGATGAGTAACTCAAAAGTTTGGTTAGAACTTGAGTGTATATAGTATCTTGGCAAAGAAACAAATTTTTAAAGAAGCGATCAGACAAAAGAAAAGGAGTCTCTAGGGGCAGCAAACTGTGGGAAACTAATGGTAGATGAAGACTAGTTGGTAAAGTTTGTTATGCAGATTCCTCTGGCTAAGTGTCTAAAGTTGTCTCCTTTGATTAACTTTCGTCCTTCCTCGTAAAGAGAAGAGGAGGGAGACCTTTGTGAATTTATTGTTTTTAGGCAAGTAGGAGTAGGGCAGATAGCTTTTCTTGTATCTGTTTTTTTCTAAATTTCCCTCAACTCAAAATAATTATTATGCCAGAGTGGCATACTTTGGTCTGCACATGCCAGAGCATAATATTCGCGGAGAAAAGTGAATGAAATACAGATGCTCAACAACTCTAAGAAATAGTGAGATGAAAATGTCACAGAAGAGTACATATAGTGTGATCCCATGTAGACATTCTGAAACATGTAAAACTAAACCTTAGGGAATCAAACATATGGTTAAGTTAAAGAAAAGCAAGAGATGATTTCAATTTAGGATTGTGATTTTTTTTTCTGGGAGACGAGAAGATCTGTATTTGGAGAGGGCCTCACCGAAGGACTTGAAAGATAATAATAATGTTCTTGTTCTTAAACCTGGATTGGTATTGATTATATTGTGTTTCTTTATACCTCATCTAAACAGTCTAAGATATTATTTTATCTACCTAGTTATTAGTAAAAGCACTGTAAGAACTTAAAAAAAAAAATGACCAGAGGAGTGAGAATAAAACCAAGATGATGTTTAGGGTACTGGTGATAGTCTTTTCTACATGAATACATCTGAAGTACACAGAGTACTGCAGACAGTCATAGTGGTTCACTGTGGCAGTGATTGTCAACTGAAACACTATGTTCTGCAAAGAAATAATCAGAATTTGGGGAAGTTTGTGGGGTGGCAAATATAATTTTTTAAAACCTCAGAGATTATTTGGTTATCCCTCTTCTCACTTCTTTCCCACTGTCTGGGGAATCACTTGCATAAAGTCACCATAGCCAAAGAAGGAGAAGGTTGCAAAAGAGAATTGATTTTAAACGTGTTATAGAATGGTCAAGGAGAAGAAGAGGTCATGAGGAATATGATCTAAGAAAGTGATCAGTAAATTTAGTGAAATTAAGCTTGGAGAGAGTAATTTCCATTTGGTGGAGGCAGCAAGTATAATTTGAGGTAAAAGAACATGGTCATTCTAGAGTTGGGGGAAAAGAAAAAAAAAAGGGAGAAGGTTAGTGGAGGAGGAGGAGGTAGAGAGGGGCTGCCTAAAAGGATATTTAATAGATGGAGGAAGGTCCCAGAAGAATCAGGAGGGGTTGGGGTCAGTAGTTATGGGAACATTTTTAGGGTAGAGTTGTTTTATGTTTAGTAGCATGAAGGGGAGAGATTGTGACTAAAAGTGAGTGAGTGGAGGAGGTTGGGGGCCTATTTAGGTAAATATGTGATCAGTATTTAATGAGATTAAATCATTGTGGATTTTGAAATATTAGGGCATGTTTGAAGAAAGCATGCATTTATTGGGAACTCAATTGTTTTGTTACTATTCTCAAGCATTACTCAGCAACTTGGTGGCAGATAGAGTGAATGGTAGTGTTAAATTGGCATTGGGGATGGAGCTGACTGGTATAACAAGAAGTGTAAGGATTTCTCAGGAGCACATCATTAAAGTAATGACTGTGTGATTCAGGCCATTTAGAAAGTTAAGTATTACCAGATGGGAGATAATTTAGTTGGAGAATAGAAAAGAATTAAGGAATTAGAATACACATTAAAGGCAAGGATCAGGTGTGAATGTGGGAGGAGGAAGGTGTGACTTTTGTGGTCAGAATGAAAGAGGATTGAATCTAAAAGCTTAGATGTAGAACACTTTGAGTATACCAGATAATCAGTGGGCCCCATGTGATTTTAAAGGCAATACGGTTTTGAGATGAGAGGTAGAAGATGACATAGTTGCATCAAATCAGAAACAGTATCCTGGAAGTATACCGTTATGTTGGATTAAACAATGTATTTGTAAATTTCTAGACTTGAAGCCAGGAAAACCTTCAGTTTGTGAAAGGCAGGAGATTTAATTGGTAATGAGAGAGGAGATGGTTTCAACATGGTGTTGTACAGGGACTGGGATTTTTCTGGGCACATACTGCTGCTTGGATCATATTTAGATGTAGTAGAAGAGTTTTGATAAGCTATGTTTTTGATGAAAGGGTGGGTTAAGTTAGTTGAGATGTGTAGTTTAATAGATTTAAAGTGCAGGATGAATATGTGTTAACTGTCTTGGGAATTTATAAATACAGTATTTTGTTTAGCATATTAATTAGACTACATAGGCTGGGCATGGTGGCTCATACCTGTAATCCCAGCACTTTGGGAAGCTGAGGCAGGTGGATCACCTGAGGTCAGGAGGTCAAGACCAGCCTGGTCAACATGGCAAAACCCCGTCTCTACTAAAAATACAAAAATTAGGTGGACATGGTAATGGGTGCCTGTAGTCCCATCTACTTGGGAGGCTAAGGCAGGAGAATCGCTTGAACCCTAGTGGCGAAGGTTGCAGTGAGCCGAGATCTCACCATTGCATTCCAGCCTGGGTGACAGAGTAAGACCCTGTCTCAAAATAATAATAATTAGACTATATAATTTTCTTGAAATTGTGGTTTAGTAGTCATCAAGGGCCAGGAAAGATTTCATACACGAGTTATACACAGAAAGTGACTTACTATGACATTAATTATTTAACTTAACGTCTTCCTATTGTTAGTCCTATCATTACACTGTAGACTTGAAAACTATTTCTGTTATTTTGAGAGAAGTAAGAGCTGAAGTTTTCTGTGAAGGAGTGTACTGAAAAAAACTTTAAAAACTTGGAACTCTCAACTGCCAGGAATTTTAAGAGCAGCTATCACAGAATGCCAACTTGGAAGAGCTAACATTTGTTAACCCCAGAAAGCTGTTGTGAACTCCATTGCCAGTCAAGTGGCTTTTAAACCCAAGGTTTACTGGAGCTGAGTCTTATAAGACTGAGAAGCTGAAGTAAATAAAATTGAGATAGGAGTCAGTAAGGAACAAGCAGTTAGTATTGCCTAGGTAGGTAAGGGAGTAGATACAAGTGATGAGGAAAGAAAAGCAATAGGAGCTGGGAATCAGAGGAGAAAAAACTCTGCAGTATTGTTTTCTACACAAGCATAGTAGAAGAGCACCATAGTACTGCGAACCGCAAATATCTGAGACAGGTCTCAGTTAATTTACAAAGTTTATTTTGCCAAGGTTGAGAACATGCACCCATGACACAGCCTCAGGAGGTCCTGATGACATGTGCCCAGGGTGTTCAGAGCAGTTTGGTTTTATACATTTTAGGGATACATGAGACGTCAGTCAGCATATGTAAAATGAACATTGGTTCGGTCCAGCTGGAAGCAAAGGTGAGGCAACCTGAAGCAGGGAGGAGACTTCCAGGTCATAAGTAGATAAGAGACCAATGGTTGCATTCTTTTGAGTTTCTGATTAGCCTCTCCAAAAGAGGCAAGCAGATACGCGTTTATCTCAGCAGAGGGGTGACTTTGAATAGAATGGAAGGCAGATTTGCCCTAAGCAATTCCCAGCTTGACTTTTCCCTTTAGTGATTTGGGGTCTCCAAGATTTATTTTCCTTTCATATTTCCTCCCTTTTTAAAAATCTTTTGGAGAAAGCATATTTAGAAGAAAATGAGTCTCTGGTCTCAAGTTTCGTCTGATCTCTCATGGCTAGGATGGTTTATTCCTTGACGGATAGGTCCTGAGTTATTAGGAAAGCTCAATTTTAGCTGGTTGTGAAGTCTCATGTCTTGTGAAGAGAAAACGGGGAGGAAGGGAGAAAAACAACAAAAAACAAAAAACAAATCCTGGAAAATTTATATAGGCCACATTACCTGAAGTCCATATGTCAGTAGGCAGGTATTAAAGTGGCTTATGTATGTAACTAAGTTGCTGTTCTTTTCTTCTGAAGTTTAAGTGTCTAGCTTCAGTTCTTAGGGCATTAAGAAAGCACAGCTTAGTTTTCAGTGACTCCAAATTAGGAAAAATGGGGGAAAAAAGAAGGGAAATAAATTGAAAACATTATTTTGAAGACTTGTAGCCAAGAAAAGTTTGAATTCTGTCTAAACTATAGAAAATAATAAAAATTGAAAAATATTAGGCAGGACTAGAATCTAACAATAGGTATACTATAGTTTTTGAAACATAATTTCTCTGTCTCCAGTTTCTCATTTTCACTAAAGACAAATTATGGTAGGACTGATTTGCTTTCTTCTAATTGGCCAGATTGTTTGTATATAGTGCAGCAAGAATAATTATTTTGTTACATAGGCTTTTTTTTTTTTTCGTGACATAGTCTTGCTCTGTCACCCAGGCTGGAGTGCGGTGGCGGGATCTCGGGGGTGATCTGCCTGCCCTGGCCTCCCAAAGTGCTGGGATTACAGGCATGAGCCACTGCGCCCTGCCTACATAGGCTTTTAAATTGGCTTTGATAGAACTTTGTTCCATAGAAATAATCTCAGGTAAGACTTTTTTAAAGCCAAGCCCAGCCATGGATTTGTACCATCAAATACCTGTGAATTGGGTGAATTCCTCTCCTCTTGATTCCAAGATAAACTTGGGGCTCCTGGGCCTGTCAGAAAGTGACATTCTTTACTTAACAACAGGTCAGAAACCCTGTACAGGGACTGTGTAGATAAGGTGTGAAGCCAGTTTTCCCAAGGGGCTTTCATTGGCTCTGTAAGTCAAGTTTGATTCCTTAAAGGAAAGCACACCATTCCAGTCAAAGCCTTGGTAAAATAACTAGTTTCTCCAATTGTGTCCTGTTACAAATGAAAACAGATTCTTATTGCACTTACGCAAATAACTGTATTGCCATAAGTTAAGAATACTCACAAATAGTTTCCAAATTCTAGAGAAATCAGGTAGAGAGAAACAAATATGCTCCAAATTTTGTTCATAGGAGTCTACTGAATTGTTAGAAGCTGTCAATAGTGCAAAAGAAAAGTTTCTTTGAAAAAAACAAAACAAAGGATCAGCAACATTTTAAGCAAAAAGTCAAAAAGATAACTTCAGTCTTCTGTTAATTCAGTCCATGCAGTTAATTCCTGTTCTGTTTGATATTCATGGATGTTCCAGCTCTCTGTGAGTCCTGAAAGTTTTTCTTCTATTTTGATGTCACAATCTCCAATCAGAAACATTCATTCAAGAGCACCTGTTAGAGTTTTATAGCTGATTATAAAACCACCTTCTAAAGAGGACCAAAAGAAGGTAACAATTGTCCATGGATGACAAAAGTTTTAGGGTAGCCATAGTCAAAGACATAGTTGACAAGGGAATTTATTATCTCTGTGGCACACAATAATTATAATTATTATTGATAATGTACATTAAGTCATATCAGAATTATAGGAGTTTCTCATAATTTTAGGACACATACTAATAACATTAAGTCATATCAGAATTATAGGAGTTTCTCATAATTTTAGGACACATACTAATAACATCTCTACAAATACAGACCAAGAAAACCAAACACCATTTCTTATATGACAATGTTTCCTGTGTAATTTTTTTTACTAAATAAGCCAAATTATGTCATTTTTTGAACTTTATAGGGAACCTAATGTCTTAAAGAATTAATTAGGTCAAAAAAAAGACATAATTTATCATTTGATTTTGGAAAGTTTGTCAAATATCAAAGGTTTAAAAAACTTCATACTACAGGTCATTGTAAAATAAGTCATTCATTTCACCAAAGTGATAACTCAGAAAAAGGTGAAAACCTTCATTCTTTGAGAGAGGAGACTTAATTCTCCAAACGATAAGGCCTAATAAAAACAGCATGAAACCAATTCAATTTATTTTTAAAAGTTTATAAACAGTCTCCAAAATTTTAATCTTGACCATAAGATATAACTTCCTTAAGCCTTTCACAGCATTTATAACCTTTATTAAGGAGTCAGTTAATGCTTCAACAAAACCTTGTTAATCTGACACAGGGGCCCATATGTTGGTTTTGCATTAGTGTGCCTTTGATATGAATGATTAATTTATAGAGAAGCTGAACTTATTTTCTCTCTCAAAATTGGGCCTTCCAATTTCACATGCCCGCCTCTTCTATGATAGTCCCTGGGCCTTGAGGAGTTGAATACCTTTAATTTCTGGCCTTGTGTTTTAGAAACGCAGTTTATTTTGATTGGCATTTTCTACGGAGCCTGAAGATGAGGCTTTAATTGCTGTCAGTGTTTATGATTTAGTAGGACTTGGTGTCCTTTTTAGACCCAGAAGTCAAAGCCATGTAACTCAATGGCACAGGTACTTTGAACATATAGAAAGATACATGAATGTTAATAACCTTAATTAAAAATTTTTTTTTTTAATTTCAGCTTTTTTCCCCAAGCAAACCAAACTGAATCATAATAGCATAGAATTGTTTCAATAAACCATAAAATATGTTAGACCAGTTACTAAAAGGCAACAGAAAAGACCTGCACTGCCAGAATATTATGTTGGAAGAAAACATTTCCTTTGGATATTCATGAAAACATTGTTAGCATCAGGCCATAACAAACAGAACTTGAGGAAAAAAACTTAATATGAGCTGAAAATGAGTTGAAAGAGAGTGTTACAATTTCACACCCTTTAAAAGGAGAGAGAAAACTAAAAACAGTGAGATGCAATAAAAGTTGAAGTTTGGGTTAGAAAAAAATTAAAATCTCTTATAATTTATTAAACGTGAATCAATAACTTAAGAAAATGTCATTGTTTTAACCAGTGATTTAGTGTGTGTGTATATATATATAGACATAATTTTTTTTACATCAAGTCCAATCATCTCTAGAAAGACCATTTTAATTTCCCTTTAATTATATAAAAGTTTCTTTGTTCTTTTTTTTTTTAAATAAATCCTCTTATTGTGTCTTAGACCATTCATGACATGCTTGGACTCTGTGGTTTGTCCTGACCATCCTCTTTCTTAAGCAGTCATTTTATTGTAGGACTAAATTTACCATATAAGAGTCTTTCTCATTATTTCTTTTTAAGCTTTCTTACCAAAACAACCCTCTTTATTTTTACAACTTTCTTTACATGTCTCTTACTTCCTGGTTCCTTTTACCTTCTTTTATACATGACCTAAATAAGCATTGAATTAGACAAAAATTGTTCACCTTTTTAAAAAGGACACACTTTTTAAAAAAAAAAATATTTTTCTACAATATATTTTATTGAAATATTTATTATTTTAGTATAACTTTAGATTCTAAATTATGATGAGTTTGTCTACAATTATCCCATTGCATTTACCTAATTATTTTAATTGTTTACCTAGACTATTTATGAAAACTGTAATGGTCATCATTTAAAGTTACAGAACCACCATTGCAAAATCATAACTGAGACAGTGAAAAAGATCTGACCTAACTCACCCCATCTTGCTTCTAACCTCCAAGCTGTCCTCATTCATTCCTGGGCATAGGCTGAACTAACTTCGGGAGGAACTTGGTTTATAGTTTAGCTTTGAAACAAAGGCAATAACAGCCTTTTCCCAAAACAAACCTTACTGACTATGGTCTAGACTGCCTAAAGCCACAAGATTAGAAGTTATGATAATCTTACTAACTTCAAGATGTAGCTATTTTCATTAAACCAATATCAATGTCTTATTTATTAACAATTACGCAAGCAAAGATCATTCTGTTTGGGGCTGGATTTATGGTTTTTAATCCCTATGCCAAATTTTGACACCTTAATAGTATTTTGCAGGGATAAGTATGAAATTGCTTGATTAATAAATGCAAACAAAAATATATTTTGGCAATTCTTAAGATATTTCTAATATTATTTTGCCAGTAATTTTAAAGCTAGCTTATTTATTAAAGATTTTATTAAATTATGTAAACTTGAAAAAGCATTTGACGAGTCTTCTCTTTTTTCCTGATGAAGTATTTGATTCCAAGCACTTTTATTTTCTTAAGCCAATTAGTTAGAGCTCTTTTATATATTTTCAGTAGTGAAACATTGTGTACACAACACATAAATACATAGACATATTAGGCATGCTGATAGAAGTACATATTATAGATTCATAAAAATTTTATTTTCCTACCATAGACTTCAAATTCTTAATAACCTTTTTCACTACCCTAGGCAGTTGTCAGCTAAATAGCCTTTAATTTGCATGTTAAAGGAAACAACTCAGGTGAAAATCAGATAGCCAAATTTACACCATAAAGTATGGAAAGAAAACGTCTAGTGTGCTAAGAGGGAAATTAAAGTGGATTTAATTGCCAATTAAACATAAAGCTATGGAAATTATAAAGGCATTTTAAATACACACACACACACACACACACACACACACCCCCTATAGCTTTTACTTTGGAACTTTAGCCATGAGATAAATACAAATTCACTGGCTTGCAAAAAAAAAACACAAAAAACCTGTTAGATCCAAACAGTGGTTTTTATCTTAGTAGAAAAATAACAGCAGATTCAAAGCAGCCAGAAATGAAAGACACAGAAAGAGAACGTAGCAACTCTGTAGTTTGTAGGTCGACCTTAGGGTTCTTTTTCTTTAATGTAAATGTGCACAAAGACCATGTTACTTCCGTTTTACATAAACTCTGGCAAGTAGTGGTGCCATAAAACCTACGGAGTGCTTGAAAGGGGATCATTCTCCTCATTCTTAGAACGTTTCCCACTTTTTCTTAAAAGGAGGAACTGAGCTGTGGCCTAGGGTTTTTATGTGTGGATGGATGTGTGCTGCTTGTGGGCAGGACTCCACAGTGTGTCACCACTGAGTTGTTTCTGCCCTCTTACATGTCTTGGTTTCTCTCTCCAGAGGTCCATGACCTCTGAGAGGGCTCAAAACATGGGATGATCAGGACTTATGTGTGTTTCCTGGACAAGCCTTTTTAAAAATTAATTTTTGTTGGGGATTTTCTTGTAAGGCCACTGCACGTCGAGGGAGGTTAACCCCCTGTACACTCCCATTAGGCCCCCGGTCACCCAGGGGCACCTTTTGGCTGGGGGGAGCAAAACACCCTTTCTCTTTGGAGCTGAGAAAACTCAATCTGTCATTTACCTGCAAAAACAACAGTTCAGTTCCTCACACAAATGTGCGCAGAAAAGCCAAACAGAGATTAATTTTGGTAGAAAAGGCGATAGAGAAGACCCTTTAGAATGCATCTCTGAAGTAGAATCAGGATCCTTAACAACTTCGTAGGAGAAAAAACAGCCAAGACCACTTCCTGTAAACTGTGCTCAGCCACCCCTAACTTGTAGCTCTCATTCACCATTACACACACCAAGGTCAAATCCTCTCGTGGTACAAGATAATCTCTGGTACCCCCAAGCCAAACAAGTCAGGTCATGGAATAATATGGAAACAGAGGTTTAGACTTAAGAAGACTCTGCCCATGACTCTTGAAACTCCACAAGGAAAACAGAACACTCTAAAAGGGGTGAGTGGTGTCTTTGTTCTGAATTCTTTTAATGGGTTCAAGTCATTAGAAACCTTCTCTAGATTTTTTGGTACTACAGATGGCAAAGGGGGAAGGAGGTATAGGGTGGAAGAAAAGTAAATGAAAGAACATTTGTTTTTTTAAGACAGTAAGCAAACACAGAAACCAAGCGCATGGATTTTTGTTTTTGTTTTTTTTTCTTTCCTCTTTTGCAGCTGCGAGGAATTTTAGCCAAATTAGAGAGGTTTTGTTACCCATAATTTGGAATTCTCAGATTTGACCAAGTCAAGTAGAGTTTGTCAAATCTGATGGGAGAAAGACCAGAACAAACAAACAACAAAAAACCCAACAATATGATCACTGACTGTGCTAATGGTAAGGAGAAATTAAGACCAGCTAGTTGTTAAACTTTAGCCAAGACAAAACCCCAATTCAGCTACTTACCCAGGGATAGGTCTCAGGCTGAAGACTGCTCTCTACATCCTAGAAGCAGGAAAAAAGTCAAACTCATCTTCCCTGCTAGGAGTGAGCTCAAACTCTGTAAAGGAGTTACCTTCTGTCCATCGCTATGTAAGCAGGAAATCTTGCTTTCCTTGTTGGAAGCAAGTGAAACTCCAAAAAAAGGGAGTTGTATTGCAAAATAAACTTTAGGTCTCCACCAAATTTTGGGAGATCAGGTGTTATCTGGAGGGGATACTCACAGACATCAGCAAATAGTACTATCGGTTTGAGCCATAAAGTTAGCTCATGCTGGTGTCAAGCTCCGATAGGATATTTGTCAAAGGTCAGGGTCACCTCCACTCAGAATCCCTTCATGGTCACCAAAATGTGAACCCCACATATCTGAGACAGGTCTCAGTTAATTTAGAAAGTTTATTTTGCCAAGGTTGAGTACACGGGACCATGACACAGCTGCAGGAGGTCCTGAGACATGTGCCCAAAGTGGTCAGAGAACAGTTTGGTTTTATACATTTTAGGGAGACACGAAACATCAGTCAACATATGTAAGATGAACATTGGGTTCTGTCCGGAACTGGAAACAAAGGCAGGACAACTTGAAGCAGGGAGGGGGCTTCCAGGTCATAGGTAGATAAGAGGCAAATGATTGCATTCTTTTGAATTTCTTACTAGCTTCTCTAAAGGAGGCAGTAAGATATACATTTATCCCAGTGAGCCAGAGGGGTGACTTTGAATAGAATGGGAGGCAGGTTTGCCCTAAGCAGTTCCCAGCTTCACTTTTCCCTTTAGCTTAGTGATTTGGGGCCCCCAAGATTTATTTTCCTTTTACAGTACAAAGCCATCTTACCCAAGAACTTTCAGAATACATAATGGTAAAATGAGAGGAAAGAGGTATAAGTACACTAACCCTAAAAGAGGATCACTGTTTCCACATGTGTAGAAGATGTTTTTCCAGAGTTTTAATGTAAGTTTGTAATAAATGATTATATCTATTATATAAAGATACTTACATACTCAGAATCCTTGTTAGTTCCCTTTTAAATGCATTTTTAAAAAGCTTTATATCAGTGATTCGTCTGCATACACTTAAATTGGAACACTTCAGCTATGACCTTGGTAAAAAGATCAGAGGTTGTCCTTGTTTCTAACTTAAGTTTAATTCGTTCATCTCTGATTTTTCACTCTTGTTAATGACATGTCCAACTTTCTAAACTGATTCTTCCAAAAGGACAATTTTATGAATCTTTAGAACCTGAATGAAATGAGTGTTAGCTCATAAGTATTTTCTTTGCTGCTGCTTGTCCCCATTTCTGCCTTCCCTACTCCAGGCAAAAATATTAGTTTAATATTTCCTATTCCACTTCTTAATCTTTTTGAAAAAATAATACTTTGCATGGAGAAAAAAGTGAAATAGCATGAAAGGGTAAAAAATAGTGTGAAAGGGTAGAAAATCATTTGGAACAGTCAAAAAAATATGGGTATACAGTAAAAAGTAAGTTTTCCTCCTTCTTTTGGCCCCCACACACTCCCCATCCAACTCATTTTCCCTCCACAGAAACAACAACCACTTGGAGAGACCTACTTTAAAAAAAAAAAAAACAAGCAAACCATGGTGATCAGAAAATATAACTTTCATTAAGCTGTAAACAAGAAAGTATGCATAAACATAAGCCATTTTTACAGTAGTCCAATCATAATTTTGTTTTTCTGCTTATCTAGTGGCTCACTTAAAAGTGTCAAAACTAGGCAATTGTATAACTTCTTCCTGGGACACAGTTTGTTTGGTGGCAGTTTTGGTGTGTTTTTTGGTGTGTTCCATTTATTTGCCAGCCATGTTCTGCTCTCCCAAATGAAGAGTATTAGTGTTTCAGCAAAATATGGGATTCGAAATTAGACAAATCAGTATTTGAGCTCTGTTAATGTCACTTCCTAGCTGTATAATCCTGACATTTCTTTTAATTTCTCTGACCTGTAAATTCCTCATCTAAATAATAAGGATAATAATAGTTACTTCTCAGGTTAATTTTAAGGGTTGATTATAAATTACCTAGCACAGTGCTAGATATGGTAGGTGCTCAATAAAACCATTAGTTCCTTTTCCCTTTTCTTTTAATGATATATTGTGAATACAATCTGAAGAGATTGTTAAAGTGGGACTGCTGTTGCAGGAAAGAGATCTTAGGTAAACTTGAAAAGATAAAATTTTCTGTCTCTATGTAAACTAAACATTATTCATTTGTCATTTTTTATTTAGGAAGTTCCAGATAGAAATAAAGGCTATTCTTTAAATCAAGAGGCAATTTTAAAAGCTTTATTTAGGCATAGAGTAAAATTTTCAGGGCAACTAGCTAATAGGGAATAAAACAGGGTTTCTCATATCAGGCATTGTTGACATTTTGGGCCAATAATTATTTGGGATGGGGAAAGGGAGGCTGTCCTGTGCCTTGTAGAATGTTCAGTGGCATCTCTACCTCTACTGACTAGATGCTGGTATCACCCTACCCCCAAGTGTGACAACCAGAAGTATTTCCAGACTTTGCCAAATGTCCCCTGGGAAAACCACTGTCTTCGAGCGTTGCTTAAAAAGAACACATGTGGGAGGGTTTCACATTTACTGTAGCATAATGAAAATGAAGAGTAAATGTTATTCAGATGCTAAAATAGGATACCTTTTTTAACTGACATGTAAACGACTTATGGCAGTAAAAGAGAAGGTATTTACAAGTGACAAAGGGATCTACAAAAGATTATCTATTGATTCAGTGACTTTACAGGGGCAAGATAAACAGGAGATGTATCCTGTTTGATTATGTGATGTGGTTCATAGCACTTTTTAAAAATTCTTATGAGACAAGATTTGTCTCTTGTCCAGGCTGGAATGCAGTGGCATGATTATGGCTCACTGCAGTCTTGATCTCCAAGGCTCAAGTAATCCTCCTCCCTCAGCCTCCAGAGTATCTAGGACTACAGGCGTGTACTACCACATACAGCTAAGTTTTGATTTTTTGTAGAGATGGCGTCTGTGTTGCCCAGGCTGGTCTCGAACTCCTGGGTTCAAGCAATCCTCCCAACTCAGCCTTCCAAAGTGCTGGGAGCCCCCATTCCTGGCCCCCATAGTACTTTTTTTTTTTAAAGCTATTAAACACATTTATCCTAACCTCCTAGCTATTCTATAACTAAAATGCTGTGTGATGTGAATTTCCTTTTAGAGCAGTCATAACCCTGGATAGACAGCAAGATTCTATATAATCAAAAGCATTTTAGGAAAATGTAATAACCAAAACTTAGGTAAACATGATTTACCAGAGTCCCTTCATTTCTAAAATGTTCACTTAATTGAAATTTGAATTTGTTATGTATAGATTTTTAAAGACTCTTTCATGGTTATAAACTCCAGTCTTAAAATTGAAGAAATCAGGGCAAATATGTGTGGTAGTCAAGTATGGACTCTAGTGTTGGACTCCTTGAATTCATATCTTGTTTCTTCTCTTGGCTAACTTTTAACCAAAGGCAAATTACTTAATCATGCTAAACTTCAGTTTCTTTTTCTGTGATTGGGAAAATATTATGACTATCTCATAGTATTGGCTCTTAGGATTCAATAAGTTAATCCTTTTACTGTATTTTGGCATAATATTTGGCACACTCAGTAAATGTTTTTCATTATCTTTATTTTAATTGAAAGCTTTGTTGTATTGCTAGAACTCATAGGTTTAATGCTGGTTGTTAGAGTTATTTTTATTATAACTCTGGTTGCCTAGTCCCAAGAATTGTCTTCTACCTAAAAGGGACAGCATAACAGAGCAATTTAAAATGGGATATGTGTGGCCATCTATTGTAGATACCTGGATTAATTTGAAGGAAGTTGGACATCTGTTTCAGATACTCAGTTTAAAGAAACTTCACTTATACATTTCTTGCCCTCCTTAACTCCTCTGTCTTTCCTCTTGAGATTTCACCTTTGCCAGTCATGATAGTCCTGTTAGGAATGAGAAACTAAGCTGTATCCTAGAGTCTCATTGAAACAATGGGAGCCCCTCTTGGAAGTGTAAGATCTCTTCAGTCACATACCCTATTTTCTCATTTCCTGAAAGGTGGTTAAATTTCCCTGATTTCAGTGGATTAGAGCCTCAAATCGTTACCTGAGGGCTCACAATGGAGAAGGCTAAGATCAAGGGGCCTAGAATATCCTTGGAAATTTCTTGTATATCTATCTGTTCATTGCTCTTTAGACTTCACATATATCTATTTCGAAGTGCCAGTATCTAAATATCAAATCAAAGCAGGTTGTTTGTTCTTTTCATTCTAGGCAGAAAAACTAATGAAGCAAATTGGAGTGAAAAATGTGAAGCTCTCAGAATATGAAATGAGTATTGCTGCTCATCTTGTAGACCCTCTTAATATGCATGTATGTATCTTTAATCTTATTTAAGATTTTTTTAGAGGTGGGGGTGGGTTCTAGCATTTTGTGTCAGGGGTCTTAAAGATCACGGCCGGGTTCTTTGATTCTCTAGGCTGAATCATAAGACTCGGCATATAGTTGTATTCCTGTATATGATTTATTACACTGAAAAGATACAAAGCAAAATCAGCAAAGGGAAGGGGGCATGGGATGAAGTCTGAAGGAAGCCAGGCGCAAGATTCCAAGTGGAGTCACACAGTGCTTAATTAGTGCATCAAGTTGTGACAACACATGTGCAGTGTTGTCACCAGGAAAGCTCACGGGAGACTCAGTCCCCAACATATTTATTGGGGGCTGGTTATATAGCTTTCCTCTTCCCTTAAATGTACCAAAATTCTAGACTCCCAGAAGGAAAATGGATGTTTCACCATAAACCATATTGTTTGCACAAACAGTTTAGGCACAGTGAGCTGTTCTTGTCAAGAAATTGTGGCACTCTTCTGAAATCTAAGTTCCCACATGCCAGCCAAGGGCCAATCTTGCAAATATGCCTTTCTAAGGACAACAGTCTCAGGCCTACTTTGTTAACTCTTTTCTGTACGCATTTGTTTAGTAAAACTTTTATGTATTTGCCTTTGTGGTGTATAAAGCGTACTGCTTTAAGTCATGTGGATTTTTGTTTTATAG
Source organism: Homo sapiens (assembly GCF_000001405.40). Classification (NCBI taxonomy): domain Eukaryota; kingdom Metazoa; phylum Chordata; class Mammalia; order Primates; family Hominidae; genus Homo; species Homo sapiens. The sequence goes on along the minus strand of NW_013171807.1, from coordinate 7,797 downwards.
AGTTTAAACCTAAATTTTCATAATATGGTATGATAACACAGGATACTAAATCCCAGGTTTTCCATTAATGGCCTTGGCAAATGATTTCCTCTTTGAGTCTCAGTTCCCTCATGTATAATCTAGAGATAATAATACCTACTTTACCTACTTCATAAGGATTATTTTGAGGATGAGATTGATGTAATGTATAAGATCCTATATCAATATTTTGTAACAATAAGTATACATTTATAAATTCTATAAATAGAAAATATTTGCCTAATACATTAATGTTATATTGCTATAAATAAGTAGAATGAAGTAGTCCCATCTCCATATCTAGAAAATAAAAGTCTGCAATGTCTTAATATCTGTGTATACAGAGACATACACACACCCTAGAATTAAGCCTGCATTTGAATTTGGTTTATAGATTTACAATGGTACCTTCTTGGAACCCTGCCTATATTAATTTCTGAATAAATCTGTACTAACAGACTTAGTTTTTTGTTGCTGTTACAGTGAAAGTTATTTTTTTTTTCAGATCTGGCTGCTGGTTTGCACCTTCCCTTTTTATCATTTTTTTTTACATTTTGAAGGAAATGAATCTATTGTAAAGTATTGCTTCTGATTGGCCCCAACTCCAGCTCCTTTCAGGACAAGTGCCAGTCCTTTCAGGACAAGTTGAATCAGGTTTTTCTTGTCTATTTTGAAAATACGTATGCCCTGTTTTTATTTATAAAGATACTTCCTTAAGTTTTAACATAGTTGTAATTTTTTTTTTTTTTTTTTGAGACAGAGTCTCACTCTGTCACCTAGGATGGAGTGCAGTGGCATGATCTTGGCTCACTGTAACCTCCGCCTCCCAGGTTCTGGCAATTCTCCTGCCTCAGCCTCCCAAGTAGCTGGGACTACAGGCACACACCACTACACCTGGTTAATTTTTTTTTTTTTTTTTTTTTTTTTGTAATTTTAGTAGAGACGGGGTTTCAACCATGTTGGCCAGGCTGGTCCCGAACTCCTGACCTCAAGTGATCCGCTCACCTTGGCCTCCCAAAGTGCTGGATTACAGGCGTGAGCGACCACGCCTGGTCCATAGGTTTACTTTTGATGGATAAAATTCAGAAGCTATGTTTTGTAAGACCTTATTTCTAAAATTAATTTCTGTGATGCTTGACAACATCCTGTATAAAATAGGTACATTCCTGATGAGCTCTTTCCCATCAGCCAGTGCTAAATTATGTCTCAGCTGGTTCTCAGTATTCTTGCAGCAGAGTATTTTCTCCTTACAAGTGGAATGAATTTAGCTTATTAGACCCTTGCAGATTTTTGAGTACCTGACTTACAGATTTTTAATAGTAGATAGTTGACTATTAAATTCCTTTTTCCAGTTTCATAGCAGTTTATTTCATTACTGCTTGGAAAAGTCTTTACTTATGTTAATATATGATTTTAACTTATTTATGTATAATCATCAGATTAACATTTGTAATTTTGGGAGCGTTCTTTTTACTTTAGTGAGTGTACATTTGTAGTAAAATTCATGTTGACCTTAACTTTTGCCAGGTTACTTGGAGTGATATAGCAGGTTTAGATGATGTCATTACGGATCTGAAAGACACAGTCATCTTACCTATCAAAAAGAAACATTTGTTTGAGAATTCCAGGCTTCTGCAGCCTCCAAAAGGTATGGTAAAGGTATATATTCGCCTAAAGCATTAAAATCCTAGAAAACATTGAAACTTTCTGCCATTGTAGAACTAGTTTTTGTGAAATCAGATTCTCAAGAGGATGCTGAGATCTATGTGAACAGTTTCTTAAAATAATTGCTCATTCTTCAGCTTCTGAAATTGAGATAAACTTTTTCCTGTATTTACATGTTAAAATACTTGTTAAAATAATCTCCTTCAATTTCTTTTCTCTTACTTCCAAGTAAATTAAAATTTGGAAAATCAAGATTAAAGAAAGATTCAAAGTCATAATACAAGTTTTTTGTTTTGTTTTGTTTTGTTTTCAAGCCAAGACATTTTTTTCTTGTTTCACAGCTCCAACGATCTTATTTTTAGAATGTAATGATTCTTTTTCAGGAAATATTTATCTGCAGATGAACTAGAAATTAAATATTTAACTTTGATGGAGATGTTTGCTTATTCAAAATCACTTTGAAAGTCTTGGAACTCAAGAATTGAATATGCTCATAACTGCATCATTAAGTGTAATTCTTGTTCATTCAAATCTTTCTTTTTTTTTCTTTTCTCTCTTTTCTTTTCTTTTTGAGATGGGGTCTCACTGTGTCACCCAAGTTGAAATGCAGTGGCATGATCTTGGCTCACTGCAACTTCCGCCTCCCAGGCTCAAGTGATCCTCCCACCTGAGCCTCCTGAGTAGCTGGGACCACAGGCATGTGCCACCACGCCTGGCTCTTTTTTTATATTTTTGGTAATGATGGTGTTTCACCATGTTGCTCAGGCTGGTCTTGAACTCCTGAGTTCAAGTTCTTCACCTGCGTTGGCCTCCTAGAGTGCTGGGATTACAGGCATGAGCCATTGTGCCCAGCTAGTGCACATATTTCTGTCATGCTTAAGGCTTGTTAAAGGTGATTCAGATGGAGTGTAAATAATTTACAGTGAGAGATATATGTGTGTGTTACTATGGCGTTCAGATCCAAATTTCACGAGATAGCTTATTTTCATCTAGCAGAAACTCTTATCTAATGCATTGCCAAAACTATATGGGTTTGATATGTTGTTAGTCAAGACTTAAATTATTAGTCACATTGATTTTTCAAAAAAGTGGATCTTTAAAAATATCAAAATAGCATTATGTATGTTTAAATTATAATGCTTATAATCTTTCTAAATTTGCAGCTATATCAATAAAGTGCATTAATTTACATATCAAAGGTAACTGAAGCCTGTACCTGTGCATTTTTATGAACTACATAATTTTTGTTTCTGGTAAGTGGAGGATGACAGTTAACAGCAAAAATGACATGTTCTTTTATTATTAAAACAACAAAGCTATTAGGTATTTCTTTTTGTTTTCTGAAATAACAACACTGCTTATAGTTTTTCCTAACAAAACACTCAGTTTATTGTGATTTCCCCCCTGCCGCAAAAAAAACTTTGAATGATTATTTGAGCCCAGATCAAAAATGTATGGCTATAGTTGGATTAGTTAAGTCTTTACTACCCTCTTCCAGGTTATTTGTAGTCTGAACAAAAAATGACTTTTCTGCATTTTTAGTTCTCAATTGGACAATGCTAGTGAATTTAGGAAAGTAAAATACCTTTTATATGCTGTTGGAGAAAGCTTCTTTTTTTATCAGTGTTATCTTAGACCAGGTAATTGGGTGATTTCTCCAGTTGGACTTGGTTTAAAGACCCATTTAGCAGAGTGGATACCAAATTATGCAGGGAATACTTCAAAAGTTATATGTAAATTTGCTTCTTATTTGAAAGCATTGTCCAATTTAAAAGTTACATGAATATTTTCTGATTATATAAAGTTTTGCTATTTGAACTTTTTCACCTTTATGTCTGGACAATTTTTAATCAAGAATAACAGTTTTGAAGATCATTAATTTACTTTTTGACCCTCAATATAAATTGGATATTGGTGTATAGAAGCAGAGTGTAAAATCAGATGCATCCTTGTTTGTTCCATTTTGGGACTGGAACTAGGTTACCTAGGTTAGAGTTATTGACAATTTTATGTTATCCTTAGACAGTTTATTGCTATCTGAGCTGAAAGTGATCACTGCTTCACACAGACTACAAAAAGATAATTGGAGAGTGACTGCAGTATCCATGCAGTGCATGAGGTCATATGTAACTATTGTGTATAGATACAAAGTTGAAGCTAATGCACACCATGATGCCGCTAATTGGTGACAGGGAAATGGGGGCACACATAAGATATTGACGGTTATATTTAAAAAGTGATTTTTTTCCCTCAAACGTCTAAAAATTTACAACAGTTAAAATTCCAACAAAATCCATCTGAATACCATATGGCTTCCTCTGTAAACTTTCTGAATTCTGTATTGTTATTTTGGTATATAAATTTTATTACATTTGTGAATGTTATACTTCATGTTTTGGTGCATTCTTTAAATTGTGAGTAACCTAAGGAAAAAAATAATTTTAAAAATAGATTTTCTGTTATAAAGACCCATATTCTTCTCAAGTACTTTATATTTAAGTAGATTTAATTTATATAGATGTGTATTTTTGCACCATTTGGACAAATTTTATGTTAAAGCCAATAAACAGTTGTCCAAAAAAGAAAAATAGTCACTAATAAGGTGGAATATTTGTCACAAATGAGGATTATCTCAAATTTAGATTTGTGTATCCCAATACTTTTTTTGTTCTTATCCTTTTTTTTGGAGACAGAGTCTTACTGTCACCAGGCTGGAGTGTGTAACCATAGCCCACTGCTGCAGCCTCCTGGGCTCAAATGATCCTCCTGCCTCTGGGTCCTGAGTAGCTGGAACTGCAAGGCATGTACCACCATGCCTGCCTAATGTTTTAATTTTTTGTAGAGACAGGGTCTCACTTTGTGGCCCAGGTTGGTCTTGAATTCCTGGGCTCGTTATCCTCCTGCCTCAGCATCCCAAAGTGTTGAGATTACAGGTGTGAACCACTGTGCCCATCCTCTTCCTAAATCTTTTATTTGCATATAGCACTTACTAAGTAAAGCCATTACCAAAAACATCCGTCTTAAAAAGGAGTTTAAATTTTTAAGCCTCTATAAAGCTTAAGATAATAAACACAGTTTTTATTTGTTGAAGTTGGTTATAAAAGTATCAGATTAAGCTCAAAGAACTAATTTAAAGGTTGCAAAGCTAATAATAAAAGCTAAATGCCTCACATTCATTGCAGTACTCATTTGTCACCCATCGTAATTATTATCACTGTGGAGACCATTTTAGGAAAGTATATAGAAAAGGTGCCACTCTAAATAACGTTATCTCTAGACTCACTGATAATTTGTCAGACAAGCCAATCTGAATTTTAGTGTAACTTTTTTTTTTTTTTGAGACGGAGTCTCGCCCTGTTGCCCACCCTGGAGTGCAATGGCGCAATCTCGGCTCACTGCAACCTCTGCCTCCCGGGTTTAAGAGATTCTTCTAACTCAGCCTCCCCAGTAGCTGGGATTACAGGCGTGCACCACCATGCCTGGCTAATTTTTTATATTTTGGTAGAGTCGGGGTTTCACCGTATTAGCCAGGATGGTCTCGATCTCCTCACCTCGTGATCTGCCCACCTCGCCCTCCCAAAGTGCTGGGATTACAGGCGTGAGCCACAGGAATGGGGATAAAGCAGTTTACTGAATAACTATAAGGCTAACACACTTATGTAACTACTACCCAGGTCAAGAAGGGAATATTGACAGCTTGTGTACCTTCTCTGTTACAGCCTGTCCCCAGAAAGTTAGGATAGCCACAAGCTTTCTTTGCATATTGAATCTTTAGGCACTCCAGACACTCATAACTGCTCAGTTAATAACACTAATTGTAATCCTTGAAGAGGAAAAACTTAATCCTGCTAAAAAGTAACAAAACCGATCTACTAGAAGGGAAATATTCCAAGTGATAGATGAATAATTTGAATCAAACACAACACTCTAAAATCTCTGAATATGTTTATGAAGTGGTAGAGTAGCTACAAAGTCAACAAAATATGGAGGCTTTTGCATAAATACTTTGTTCTAAAAACCTTGAAATTTAGTTTTTAAGAAAGTACCAAGTGTAACAATATAAAAACCCAGAGATTTAAGTAACATGTGTATAAAAGTTTTATAATGGATATGCATTCTATATTAAATTATGTGATCAAAATGATGAAATTAATAATTCCAAGTATCTGCAAACAGGTGGTTTTAGATTACTATTCTTTATTGTTTCATATGAGCCATCCAAAAGAAAAATGTCAGTAGAAGATTCAAATTATAACTGACTTAACCAAATTTTAAGCACCTAAGTGAACTTAATTAAAATTTGCAGAATGCTTGAAAATACAATTAACATGTATTGGTAAAGCTTATGGATTTAAATTTAAAAGTCAGCTTTAGAAAAGTTTAGTTTCATATGATTAAACTTAGATTAGTTGCTGTTAGAACTTGAATCTTCAAGAATTATAAAGACCAGTAGAAAATTCTATGTATGCTTGAGGAAGAGCTTGAACATTATTTTGAAGTGTTTGATGTGAAAAATAAAATTGCTAGAGTTATGGAATCAGGTGCAGATTTCTTTTTTTTTTTAAATTGAGATATTTTTGGGAATTTTCATACAAAATTATTTTTCCTCTCATTTTGAATTTTATTTTTATTATATATAAGAAAATTTTGGACTCCTCCAGATCCCTTCCAGTTCACCCTAGCATGCCATCTATATAGATGGCATTTTAAAAAATACTGTTTCATAGGAAAAGTTGAGCTTTGAATTAAACAAATATTTTGAGAGGTCTGCCTATTACAGTTTTTGTTAGGGCTGTCTGTAGATGGTTTATTTTAATAACCATCTTAGTACTAAGTTTAGGTGCCAGATCATGTAGTACTGAGTTTAGTAATTTGGTAAAATTATAATTTTAGTATTATATATTTAGTATTATTATATATTTAATATTATTAAATTTAGAAAATGCTATCTCATTTTAGTTGAGAAACAGTTGGTGGTGGTTCCCAAAATGTTCAAGATCCCAACCTCTAGATCCCTTGTATTAAAAGTGTTACCTTAAATTGTATTTAGCAGCAAAATGCTGTTAATGGAGACCATAGGTTAATAATATAGTTTTATTCTTTGGAAATTAAAACAGGAGTGACTGATAATTTCTGTTTCTTTTAGGAAAAGATTGTTTGGAAAAAGGCACATGTCCTTTGGCTAAAACTTAATCTGTGAGCAACAGCAAAACAGTGTTTGCCACAATCTGTTTTGAAGTTGTTTACCTTCTGTAGGCTAATATCAAAGCACTATGGTGCATTGTTTGCTTGTGAAGGTGGAGGGCCTTAGATGATTTTGTTTTTCAACTGTTGATAAAGTGGTATGAATTTGGATGTCAAGGTGAGCATTTAAACTGAACCTTTTCATGAAGGGAGAGGGCACAGGATGCTGTAATCCCCAAATACATGCTCTTAACTGACACTGAGCTTAGAACATGGCATCTTCCTTTCTTCTATCTTACCTACTATAAACAAGATTAAATAAAAGCAGAATTGAATATTGGGAAAGTTTTTTGTGGAAGGAATTACTATTCTATTGATTATCATATAAATTGAAGCAAATATCCCCTTAAAGGTAATAAATAACATATTCATTTCCAGGTGTTCTTCTCTATGGGCCTCCAGGCTGTGGTAAAACGTTGATTGCCAAGGCCACAGCCAAAGAAGCAGGCTGTCGATTTATTAACCTTCAGCCTTCGACACTGACCGATAAGTGGTATGGAGAATCTCAGAAATTGGCTGCTGCTGTCTTCTCCCTTGCCATAAAGCTACAACCATCCATCATCTTTATAGATGAAATAGGTATGCTATGTTTTCTATATGAGTATTTTTAAAGGCCATTTTTAGAGATATTTAGATAACCAGATTTAGTTTTTAACATTTATTAGGCCATGTTAATAAAACAAAGAACATAACCAACATCATAATATGCTATGTATAATTTCTGTGTTGTAGAATGAACCATAGACTATATACTCCCCTACTTGATAGATAGGTTTTTCTGTCTTTTCTCTGTTACAAACAGTATGCAGTAGATATCCATGTACATGTTTTCTCATGTATATATGTTTGCCCGGGAAAGATACCTAGAAG